>NC_000004.12:80285017-80436532 GCF_000001405.40 Homo sapiens
TTCTTTGGGGGTTATGGGCTCTTTCAAGTTTGATGAAAGCTACAGAATCCTCCTTTGGATTCTCATAACAGCCCTATTGTTGTAAGTGTTATGGATAAGGAGGCTAAGGCTAAGAGCTTAATTGGCAGAACTGGTTTTTGATTGCATGTCTGACTCCAAGTTCACACTCTTCCCCCATTCTCCCACATATTCCTTCAAATTTTACTACATGGCAAACTAAGCTCTTTCAGAGCTGGTGCTGACCTACATTGTCTGGCTCATCTCCTTACTTCCCACATGCATCCTAGGTAGAGGTCACGCTGAACTACTTACAGGTATTTGAAAGTGTCATGTTGACCTTTCAACACCCTGTTCCTTCTCCCTGAAAATCCTTTCTTATTTTGCCTTCCTCTCTAATGCTAGTTAGAGAACATTCCTAGTTGTACTTGAAGACTCAGCTCAAATGTCACCTTTTATAGGAAGACTTTTCTGCCCTCTTCTTGGCCACCTCCACCCTCTTAGATGCCCTTCCTCTATGCTGTCATTGTACCCTCTGCATACCGCTGTCATAATTCCATTTATCAAGCTGCACCATGACGGATGTCTACTTGTCTGCTTTTCCACTATTCTGTAAGCATTTCAAGGGCAGATATTTTGTGTGTGTGTAAGATCTGGCCAAAGTGTAGTTAGTAACTCGAGTGACTTTTTTCTTCTTGGAGTTAGATATACTTTCCTGTAATGCCTGAGTAAAGATACGTTATTTTTTTCTAAAGAACTCTAACACGTGCAATATTAATGGGGGCCATATGCTACTTCTCTCTCAGCAGCCTCAATCACACTGATAACATTGAAAAAATGCAAGCTTGTTTCAAAGGAATAATTTTGACCTCATTTCTGTGAACAGGAATTTATATTTTACCAGGCAATCATTTCTTAGTAATATAGTTCCATTTATTTTCTTAGTGAGTTAGGAGGAAAAACAGTATGTAAAAAGATTTGTAACTATACATTTCAAAGTATTTAAACAATAGTAACAGGGTTTAAATGTATCAAGAGTTCTGGTTACTTTTATAGTCATCGATATTATGTCACCAAGTAAGTAGGGAACAGAAATGTGTTACAAAGATAAATGAAGTAGAAATATAGAAAGAAAAATAGTAATTTTAAAGCAACTTTAAAATAAGCAAACATGTCTTTATAAAAAGGAATTGAGTAGGAGGAACAGAGATCAACAAAATTATTGTTTTTTTTTCTACAATACCTTATGTTTTATTACATGCTGAAAAGATCGCCACAACTTAAATTTCCTCTTTTTTTCTCCTCCTTAGGCCAAGTTCACAGATGACTGCAAGTTCAGGGAGCGTTTTCAAGAAAATAGCTATAATACCTATGCCTCAGCAATACATAGAACTGAAAAAACAGGGCGGGAGTGGTATGTGGCCCTGAATAAAAGAGGAAAAGCCAAACGAGGGTGCAGCCCCCGGGTTAAACCCCAGCATATCTCTACCCATTTTCTGCCAAGATTCAAGCAGTCGGAGCAGCCAGAACTTTCTTTCACGGTTACTGTTCCTGAAAAGAAAAAGCCACCTAGCCCTATCAAGCCAAAGATTCCCCTTTCTGCACCTCGGAAAAATACCAACTCAGTGAAATACAGACTCAAGTTTCGCTTTGGATAATATTCCTCTTGGCCTTGTGAGAAACCATTCTTTCCCCTCAGGAGTTTCTATAGGTGTCTTCAGAGTTCTGAAGAAAAATTACTGGACACAGCTTCAGCTATACTTACACTGTATTGAAGTCACGTCATTTGTTTCAATGTGACTGAAACAAAATGTTTTTTGATAGGAAGGAAACTGGAATTCTTTGTACTAATACAGGGAGCACACTCCTTCAGTTCAGCAAGACATAAAGCCTTTTGCTTTATGCTTGAGGGATATTTAGAACTTTGTATTTTCGGAAAGTTAAATAACAGGGACTACGTATTTTTCTGACTTTTACAGATTAACCTGAAAGAACATACATGATACATTTTTATTTTTGGTTTCCAAAGAATATTTTGATGCAGATAAAATATTTTGTTAACTTTTGTTTTTTTTTGTTTGTTTTCTTAAAAGTACCTCTGCATTGAGCATATTTTCTTACTTTTATTATTTTAATTAATATGACATAAGCAATCATTTTATGCTGTTTATGAATTATAAATGTGTTTATAGCTCATTTGTAATATGGAAATCTTTTACATTTTTCCTATTCACTGCACTTTTTTATTGTTTTTATTTCTAGCCATACCTCAGATAATATGTTTAGTTTTACATTTTAAAATGTTTAAATTCTCTTTCACAGCACCAAAGGCTCAGCTTGGATTTGTGTGTATGTGTATGTCAATTCATGACATTATGTGGAATCCTAAACCTTTGGTGGCTGGGATATGATGGGTTAGAAGCAAGGAGAAAATATAAGGACTTTTTGATGGAATTAAATGTGGGAGGTAAGGAAAAGGATTTAGAGGTAAAAGTACACTAAGTTTGCAACATTTATTGAGATCTAAGTCTGTCTTGCCTTCATTTCTCTTTTTATCTCCCCCTTGCCCTCATTCTTGAACAGCTGGAGGAATACATTTTATTCTGTCCATGAAGCATACACTATGAAATTCAAGTGCTTAAAAATACTTCTATGACTCTCTGCTATCCCACTGTATAGATCCACAGGGAGCAAACACTTAGAAATGATAGAGAACTGAAGGAGATCAATGGTTTAACAGTTATCCATGCCAAGTCCCATTGTCAGAAATATTCTTATTACTCAGTCAAACACTCTTTGAGCTTCCCTTCCTAAAGGTAACCAATCCAGTGAATAGATGTGCCCTTTTATAAGGAAACTTCTGATGTTTATTAAAAAAACTGGCCTTTTGATAGAGGTAACTTAATTTGGGAATTTGTTGTGTTGAAATGGCATTTAATTTCAACCTAAATACTGACTGCTGGACATAAATCACAGAAAATTTAACTTAAGAAAATTTACAAAATTTATTCTCAGGTAATCATTTTAATAAAGTTCTGCAAAATACACGTTTATCTTACATTCAGAAATGTGGCAAAAAAGGCATAGCTAAAGGCTAAACATATGGCTTTAGTAGTAACAAAAGGGTTCATAGAAACTTCATGGTTTGCATTTAAACATGTTTAAAGTGTACTTATAAACTATTTTTTTCTTAAAGCAAACTATGATTTATTTTGGTGCACAAATACAAAGTGGAAACTTACCAAAATTGAACTAGCTACCATATAAGCAGATTGCTTTAATTTGATGGGAAAATAGTACACACATATATATAACAAATAATATATTAAAAAACCCATCCATCAACTAAAACATTATATGTATACATCAGTATAGTGTTTTATTATAAAGCCAATTATCTGATTAAGCATTCTTTCCACTGAATGCATAATGTTTAAATAGCATAAAATGAAATGCTACAAAAATTGAACTAATTTATACTTTAAAGTATTTCTGGGTTAAATGAAACAATGAAATTTTTTAGTATGTTCAACTCTCATCCAAATGGCATATGACCCTGTTTACACAGCCTAAAGCTAAAAATATTACTCTAGTTTATTCTAATCTATTGTTAAGTATTGTGCACTGTATACCAAGTTCTTAGGGCACATGAAAAATTTTAGCTGCCAAACAGGAACTAGTAAACATATGTTCCTAATAAGTGAAGGGAAAGATAATAATGATGGTCAACAATAAGCCACGTCAATGCATAAGTTGTATAGGCTAAATGTTGCTTGTAGGCTACATTAAACTCAAATGTAATAGTTTATCTTATACTCCTGGTTTGATTTGATTAGCATATTAACGTGAAAGTAGGATAGCTACTAAATATATATTATGCAAGTCAGGAATCATTAATTTCAAAATTTAAAGCCATGCTAAAATTAAAAAGAAAATATTAAATTACACAATTACACTTGTCTTTACTGGCCATACAAAATGATTTTTTTTTTTTTTTTGAGACAGAGTCTTGCTCTGTCACCAGGCTGGAGTGCAGTGGCATGATCTCGGCTCACTGCAACCTCCAACTCCCTGGTTTAAGGGATTCTCCTGCCTCAGCCTCCCAAGTAGCTGGGATTACAGACTCATGCCACCACGCCAGCTAATTTTTGTATTTTTAGTAGAGACGGGGTTTCACCATGTTGGTCAGGATGGTCTCAATCCTGGCCTCTTGATAGTCCTGACCTCATGATCTGCCCACCTCGGCCTCCCCAAAGTGCTGGGATTACAGGTACAATGATGTATAATTAATGCTTAGTGAAGCATAAAGTTACCTACATCAATTAATTAAATGAACTTATGTACAGAAAACATGTATAAATATAAGTCTATACTAATGCTTACAACTTTCTAAGAGGGTTCTTGCTTATGTAGCTTTTTATTATTTTAAGTAACTAGAACCACCAAATATCAAATAAAATTATTTGGTTATGGTTATGTTCATCTAAACACAACAATAACTTTTATATTAATATTTAGGAGTCTATTTTGTCTATAGGTGACAAACATCTCCAGACTAACATGTCAGTTTTATCAATTATATTATGTTTAATTATTTAAGATTTCTTTATGTGGAACATCTATAGAGATAAATAGAAATTTTCAATAAGATGTAGTAACACTGTGATTTATCTTTCAAGAGTCTCTCTTCACTTCCTTCTAAAGAGACTAATTTGAGAGTACAGGTGCATATTAATTTTCTTGGTTCTTTCAGCTGAATTATATTGGTCCAGAAGTTCAAAATCATGTGACAATAATAAGGGATACTGACAGAAGTTATTTCCAAGTTTGTGTATATATTATAAAAATTACATATATAAAACTAAGGCTTTTATTTCTGTTATTTTTAAGCTTTTATTTCTTGTAGCTAAAAATAAAACATCATAAATCTGGTAGGTAAATTTCTTATTAAATCAATCTTGAAATAGAAAATGTAATAACTTTCTTACCATTAACATTTTTTACCCTTCCATAGAAGGGAGGGAATAAATCATGACTTATCCCATTTTCAATAACAAAACGAAACTATGGCACTAACCAAAAACTTGCATTCTGGCATAATTTTTACAGTTGCAGAGAATTGTTTCTGGGCTCATTAAAAAAAGTAGTATTGCAGACATTGCTGCAATGGGAAGCAGACAATAACTTCTTAAAGGAATTCTACACCTCCTTTAAGATTTACTTAATTGCTACATCTAAATTCTGATAATTTAAAATCCATTTTAGGTGATAAAATTTTTTAAAAGTTTTGAAGGAAACCTCTGGATAAATGGACAAGGCCTAATTTTTTTTTGTAGTCAATCCAACTGTACTGGCCAATTTTTGAAATAAGATTATATGATTAGGTATTAGCAGAGACAAAGAGTTACCTCCTCCATCTTACTCTGCCCTATTTGAAAGTCTCAGGGGAGAAAAGGGAACAAGATGCTGATCCAACCTGAGTGGAGTCAGGTGAGGCATCTTTACATCTAAGAATTTTTTTTTAAATTTTATTATTATTATACTTCAAGTTCTAGGGTACATGTCCACAATGCACATGTCTGTCACACATGCACACATGTGCCATGCTGGTGTGCTGCACCCACCAACCTGTCATCCAGCATTAGGTATATCTCCTAATGCTATCCCTCCCCTCTCCACCCACCCCACAGCAGGCCCCGGTATGTGATGTTCCCCTTCGTGTGTCCATGTGTTCTTATTGTTCAATTCCCACCTATGAGTGAGAATATGTGGTGTTTGGTTTTTGGTCCTTGCAATAGTTTGCTGAGAATGATGGTTTCCAGCTTCATCCATGTCCCTACAAAGAACATGAACTCATCATTTTTTATGGCTGCATAGTATTCCATGGTGTATATGTGCCACATTTTCTTAATCCAGTCTATCATTGTTGGACATTTGGGTTGGTTCCAAGTCTTTGCTATTGTGAATAGTGCTGCAATAAACATATGTGTGCATGTGTCTTTATAGCAGCATGATTTATAATCCTTTGGGTATATACACAGTAGTGGGATGGCTGGGTCAAATGGTATTTCTAGTTCTAGATCCCTGAGGAATCGCCACACTGACTTCCACAATGGTTGAACTAGTTTACAGTCCCACCAACAGTGTAAAAGTGTTCCTATTTCTCCACATCCTCTCCAGCACCTGTTGTTTCCTTTTTAATGATTGCCATTCTAACAGGTATGAGATGATATCTCATTGTGGTTTTGATTTGCATTTCTGTGATGGCCAGTGACGATGAGCATTTTTTCATGTGTTTTTTGGCTGCATAAATGTCTTCTTTTGAGAAGTGTCTGTTCCTATCCTTAGCCCACTTTTTGATGGGGTTATTTGTTTTTTTCTTGTAAATTTGTTTGAGTTCATTGTAGATTCTGGATATTAGCCCTTTGTCAGATGAGTAGATTGCAAAAATTTTCTCCCATTCTGTAGGTTGCCTGTTCACTCTGATGGTAGTTTCTTTTGCTGTGCAGAAGCTCTTTAGTTTAATTAGATCCCATTTGTCAATTTTGTCTTTTGTTGCCATTGCTTTTGGTGTTTTAGACATGAAGTCCTTGCCCATGCCTATGTCCTGAATGGTATTGCCTAGGTTTTCTTCTATGGTTTTTATGGTTTTAGGTCTAACATTTAAATCTTTAATCCATCTTGAATTAATTTTTGTATAAAGTGTAAGGAAGGGATCCAGTTTCAGCTTTCTACATATGGCTAGCCAGTTTTCCCAGCACCATTTATTAAATAGGGAATCCTTTCCCCATTGCTTGTTTTTGTCAGGTTTGTCAAAGATCAGATAGTTGTAGATATGCAGCATTATTTCTGAGGGCTCTGTTCTGTTCCATTGATCTATATCTCTGTTTTGGTACCAGTACCATGCTGTTTTGGTTACTGTAGCCTTGTAGTATAGTTTGAAGTCAGGTAGTGTGATGCCTCCAGCTTTGTTCTTTTGGCTTAGCATTGCCTTGGTGATGCGGGCTCTTTTTTGGTTCCATATGAACTTTAAAGTAGTTTTTTCCAATTCTGTGAAGAAAGTCATTGGTAGACATCTAAGAATTTTTATGACATTGAATCAGTCAGCTGGGCTACACATCATCAATCAGTATTTCAGCAATTTTATGCAATAAAAATAATATTAGATTATAAACCAAGAACTCTCATTTATGTTTTAGTTTATTAAATTGTTTTTGTCTTTATTCAGACATAAATATCACAAGTCACTCTCTAGCACCTGTTTTACCCTTCACCATTTGATCTCTAACATGATTTCTAGATTTATTACCAGTGATTGTAGGATTCTTACAATGTTGAAAGTTCTATGAGATCATAAAAAGGGACATAGTTCCTTCTCTAATGAAACTAAATTTACGTCCAGATGAAACTGGACAACCACGTGAAAAAAAAAGCTGTCAATGAAGTTATAAACATAGATCTTTTTAAAAGATCTTTTCTTAGTTTAAAAAATATCCACTGAATAAGTGTGTGAGATTTGATCAAGACATTTACAAAGCTAGGATCGATTTTGGGCTTAGCATTTTATGAAGGATGTAAAAAATTTGAATTAACCTGGAGGAAGAATGGTCAGAGTGGTATCATTGTTGATAATAAATAGCCCTACTTAATTAAACATGCAATTTTAAAAACAGCTCTTTTGTGATTAAAGTTCCCCATTCTACATGAAGTCTTCTAGAAATTCTTGAAGAAATATGAGTAATTTCTTCTTGACATCATGCCTCCAAATAAGATAGCTCAGGACACAATTTTCTGTCACCATTCCCTTACTTTCCCAAAAATTCAGGAAATGTTTTCTGAGATCCCTCCTTGCACAAGGCACTCAGCTAGCAAGACATTCTTGGACTTGCTCAGTGCTTGTTTAGTAGTTCCTTGTGTATATTTACTTCAATGTACTCTCATATTTTGAACTTCTGGAGAAAATATGTCTGCCCTCATTGCACATTTCCCACCCTAAAATCAGGCTAATAAAAATAACTCAATAAATGCTCTTAGCGAAAAGCAAACTTGAATGATGTGTTCCTCTGGCTTAAACACTTTGTAGAGGCTATTGGATATTCTAGTTATTCACAAAACTTAGTGTGTAATTATAATTATAGGTTCCTGGCATATGTTAGTTGCTCAGAAATGCTTTTAGGATGTATACATGTGCTGAATAAGATTTATCGGACAAAAATGATGATGACAGGTAAGAGAATTTCATGTTAAATATGAAATGTCTCCTACAATAAGAGTAAGAACATCCACTGCCCCTCCTACTGTACTTGAAGTTCTCAAACATAAATTTTTAGACCAAACTAAAAATATCAGGCACTTGCAGCTGCATTTAAGTATCAATACATGTCATCATATGACACTTCAATTTCACTAGCAATCATAAAAATAGGTTACTGTGCAAATCCCAGTGCTTTTGCTATTTGTAGGCCAAACAAGCAGTCTAGTAGGATGCCAGTAGGTATCAGTGGGAGAGTAAAGACATTTCTTTTTGGTAATTTATTTCTAGATGTGCTTGTCCCTTTCCCTAGATAAACTCTTTCAGAGAAGACTGACATTTTTCTGTATCCTACAGAGAGATTAGTGAATGCATAATCACACAGTGACAGGTCCAGCTCCAATGTGTTTCTCATTAAATTCTCTGTCGTTCCCTCTGTGGGAAACTGGACAATTTATCAGATTTTCATACAGGGAGGTGAATTTCTGCTGAGGAGGAAACACCAATGTCTTTTACCTTCCTGAGTGCAATTATGGCTGAGCTTCCCTGATAGTACTCCATTTTATGATAGGGTTGTCATTGTAGGATGTGTGCATTCTATAACTTCTGACACTGGTTATATATTTGCACTTTTTAAAGTTAGCTAGTTGTCCTACATTTGCCTTAACACAGAATGTCTGAGATTAAGCATACCTGTATACTAAAATATTAATTGTACAAGGAGAATATACAAAGATTTCTCTAACAGTCACCATCTTAATGGAGCATGTGAGAGAATGAGTTTCAAATCTGGAAACAGAAAGTAGTATAAAAGCGTATGTTCTCAGTCAATTCTTGTTTTTTTTTTTTGCATAAAAGATGAATTTCAAAGGGGAGAAAAATATGTTTTCTGTTTAAGTAATTAAAGAATAACCGTTATGGCAATAACTACCATAAATTTTGTCTGAGATCTGGAGTTCCTTTAAGTTATGATTAGAAGGAAAATTCATGCCCATTTATTTATGTTGCCACATTTGTTGTATCACTGTGTAAAACAACAGATCAGCTCTGACAGAGAGTTTGTTTTCACTTTAGATATCATGTTGCCTAAGATTCTCAGCCTTTACCATTTGGTGAGCAAGCGAACAAATGAGAAAAATACACACGCATCCCACCTTGCTGGTGCAGAGCACAAACCACAAGATTTCTCCACTAGTCAAGGGAGTTTAATGTTTAATGACACAAAATCAACTCAGTCTAGCAAAACTCCAAGGTCCAAAGGAGCCAAGCAAACTAAAAGAATAATGATTTCTTGATTGCTAATAATTTATGGCAGAAACCACTAGTAAGTTTCTAATAAAAGCATTCAGTGTTCATTTAACCCCTTATACCTGGCATTATGCTGGGGTTCTGGGAATAGAATTAAACACATTGGTTTGAGGGAAATTTACATTCTTGCTGATAATATTAGGGAAGTGAACCATAGCTTTAGAATACGATATCCAGTTCTTGGTAGGTTAAAAATGACACTTATTCTTGCCAAAGGAATTTAGTATGTTGGGTCACTGTTTACCAGGATGGATCCAAAACCTTAAGCTGTAGTTTACATTACACATTTTAGAAGTAACTCTCAAGTTTCTTTGATGCTCCTTTTGGGAATTTATCGCATTTTTTATTGAATATTAACCTACAGGATGTTATCAAAGATGCAAGATGTTTCTATGCTTATTTTAAGATAATTAGGGATCCAATAGAACGTAAGAAAATTGTGTGCAGGCTTTTCTAATTCCATCTGCTATAACAAACATTTACCTTACAGCTGGGATTGGAAAAGCAATACGATCTGATTCCAGGATTGCTCAGAAATTGGAAAAAAACTCACCTGTGCTTCCCAAATTTATTTCCCAAGACAAAGATGTCTATAGCACAGAAAAAAATGCATGAATTAAAAAATCAAGATGTATTATTAAATATGGTCCTGAGTATTGCTTAACATTTCAGTTCTTTTTCTACCTGTTTGCTGGAAGCAAGAACATTGTTAACAATTTAGCACCTTTTTCATTAAACACCACCTCCCACTGTTGGTCTTAAATAAAGGATTATATATATATATCAGACTTCCTTTGAGAACAGCTGCTGCTTTTTGGACTGCTAGGATTAGTGCAAACAAACCTCCCCCAGGACATTTAAGGGGGTTGGCAAATGTTGCTGTGTCTACTTTGGTTGTTATAGAGGCACCCTTGCAGTGGTTTCAGCCAGCGTTCCTGTAACATTGGCCTGCAGTCAATAAATATTTCATGTCTCTTTCCCCTAGGGTGTGCTCAGAAGACCACCCTGCAAGTTTCTGCCTCTGTGGTCACAGCTTCATGCCGTGGGCGTAAAGGTGGGTGTGCAGCCAGAGGCAGGATGTGCAGGCAAGATCCAATGTGGTTAAAATTTGGGATCACTAGTCTGGCTTTAGGGAATCTGGAGACCATTTCATGTTAACACTCATTCTAAGAGAGAAAGCATGTCCATCAGAGGATTATCATTAAGCATCAGTGTGATTCACTCAAGGGTTAATAGAAAGAAACATTCATAAGAGGTGAGGTTTCAGGTTAAGAGAGAAATAGGAGCCTCTTGTTCTTCTCACCAGAGTGTAGAATGTCTTCTTCCCTTTAGGAAGAAGACCCTCAAAGTTTCCAGAAGTTTCCAAAGTTTCCTAAAGAGACCCAAGTGGGAAAGGATCCATGTCTCCTTAGCTCTTTAAAACATGTCATGAATCAGGCATCCAAACAATAATGCACTCAGTGACTGAGTGAACATCTAGTGAACCGAATGATTCAGAGATTGGTCGAGATTTATTAATTGCCTAAAAAAGAGACTCAAAGGCCAGGGAAAGTAGAGCCAGTTTTGCTTTGCTTAAGAAAATAAGAGGAAAAATAAAAATGATGTCGCACGTTGCTTTTGGGGCCTAATATCACTTTCCCTCCACCCTCGCAGAGGGTAGGTCTAACTCTTGTTAGTTATCATTTGGATGGTTTGCTTAGTTATTCCCTGTCTGTTTTCCATAGACATTGTTTGAGTACTTACTATATGCCAAATATGCCACAAGTGATGGGTGTAGAGATAAATAAGACCTGGTTTCTTCCCTCAAGAAGCTTGTAGTCTAGATGAGAAGACGAAAAATTAAAAAAATATGCTCTATATATCCCACGAGGGCAGAGCTGGACTACTGTAATAAGTACTGCCACCTTACTTTTGAACAGCGCTTTTTAGTTTTAATGTAGCACTTAAAGCATTCAGAATATATTTAGCTGCCTTATCTAATTAGATATAGAAGTAAACCACCTAAAAGGAAATGAATGGCTTCTAAGAAGTTAGCATTTAAACCTAAGATACCTTGATGCTTGGTCCAAATTCCCTTTTCAGTGCTCATAACTCAGCTGCTGAATATGCAGCTGCTCAAGGCCGTGCCTCTTACCTTAGGCAACTACCAAGGTTACATTCATTCCCAGGGTACCCTGAGGCCAATAACTAGCTGATTCAGAAATACAATGGCCTGACCCCCTTGCCACGATTTTTAATCAATATGAAGGGCCATAGCAGCTTCAAGGCACCCCTAGGATCAGCTGAGGCCCCAGCTGCCGACATAGAGAAGACAATTTTCTCCCTCCACCCTGCCTTTTTCATTTCCTTACAGGTAGGGACACAGATACAAGACAATACTCTCGACTACATTTGAATTCTAGATAAACAATAATTTTTTGTATAAGTATGTTCCAAATATTGCATAGGTATCCTGTAGTTTTATTTGCTAGGTCTGGCACTACTATGTACAATTGTAACTCTGAAGATCACTCCCTGTGAACGTGCTGTGTGCTACTCTCAGCCTCAGAGTGTTGCTGGGGAATCCATTCTCTGGGAAAAGGTATTGTGGTCAGGAAGCACAAGGGAGGGCCTGGACTGCCAGAGAAAAGTGTGAGGGGAATAAGAAGAGGATCCTCTTTCTACAATCAGAGATGAAGGCATATTTCAACATTCTCATGGGCATAAAGAAGTTTATACTCATAAGCAAGACAAAATTCAAAAGTTTCAGTGGCTATACAAAGCCTAAAATATTCTTTATCCAAAGCGTGATCTTGAGGCCTTAATTCTTTGCTCAGCCTCCCAAAACATTAGCTGTATGTGTTTGTACATATAATACTAAGGCACATGGACTGTCTTTTCCTAAATTATGCAAGGCATGTGATCAATTTGGGACTTATTAATGACATTTCTGAAAGTCTCTCAAAAAGTTGGTCAGCCTTTCTTCATAAAACACATTTTTACATGTTTTACAAAGTGCCACATACACCTGGCCTTTCTGCTACCTCAGCAGCTATTTCTTCCTGTCTCTTTGGCTAGCTCCTCTTTTACCTGACCTGTAAACCTTGTGGGACCCCAGGGCTCAGTTTTTGCCTCCTTTGTGTTCTTTCTGTAAACTCACTTCCTACGTGATTTCACCTCCGCCTTACATACCAGATGTATGCTGACGACTTCCACATTTAAATCTCCAGCCTCAACCTCTCCCAGAATTTCACATTCACGTAGCCAACTGCCTGTTGCAGCAATTCTATATTGCTACAGGATATCTAACAGGCATCTGAAGGCTGACATGTTCAAAACTCAACTCTTGTTCCCAAACCAGTTAAGCTTCCAGACTTCTACAGTTTAATAAACAGCATGATGATTTATTCAGTGACTCGAGCCAAAAATTTGGAATCATTCTTGTGTCTTTCCTTTCTCTCATAACCCTCATCCAGTACGCCAGCAACTCCTTTTGGCTAAACCTTTAAACAAATTCTGAGTTCTTTCTCTGTCTCTACTCCATATCTCATCTTTGGCTTGACCTGTTGCTATATCCTCTCAACTGGTCTCTCTTCTTCTCACTACAGTGGATTTTACAGAGAAGTCAAAGTGAAATTTTAAAAACAGAAATCACGTCTTTTTCCTGCTCAGAACTCTTCAGTGGCTTCCCAGCCCACTAAGATGGAGCTAGTCCTTTCCTCCCTCTCTTGTTCCATCCCCTAGTCTCTTCCACCTCACTAACTCTGCTTTAACCCAATGCCTGGAATGCCTTTCCCCCAATTGTTCAGCTATTCTACTCCTTCTCTCCTCAGAGATGCCTTCCCTGATGACTGTTTGAAGTGTCTTCCCCTACTTACTCCATCTCATCCCCTTCTTATTTTTGTTAGTGCATTTTTCATGCTCCTTAATTATCTTGTATACTTTGGTGTTGACTGATTTCCTCAGGGTTATATAAGTAAGTCTGTTTCCCCCCAATAGAATGTAAACACCTTGTGTAAAGACCCTTCGCTTGGCTTCTTCACTGCAGGATTTCTGGTTCCTGGTGTGGACCTGCCACAGAGGAGGTACTCGATATTTATTTATTTATTGGAATGACAATATTCCCTATTCTAGAAAAGGCTAGAGGGTTGAAAGTAAGTGAACTATACAATTAGCCAGAATGATTAGTCAAGCTTTAATTCTAATAAGCTCTCCAACTGGAATGCTAAGTTTGTCTGAAAGTGCAATTAATTCTCTGGCCGAACATGAAAAACCTCCCAACGATTTACCAATTTTTCAGTAAGGTAAATTTTGTAGAAGGATTAGGAAAGCCTTAAACCCTAATGTGGTATCACCATGTTTGCAAGCTCCCCTAGACAATTTATCTATGCCCTTGCTGGATGTGGTCAAGATTCTAAGGATCTGCCTTATGATCAACACTAAATAGCATATTAATATTAATAAATATCTGTATGGCGTAAAACTGAGACATTCACCAGCAAATATACAAATACATAACTACTCTTTGATTAATTTTAGGATAATCCATCAAAAGTAATGTGAATATTATACTTTCTTTTTTTCCAATATTAAACCATTTTTAATTGACACATAATTGTACATCTTTATGGGATACAATTTGATGTTTCAATACACATATATGTTATATAGTGATCAAATTAGGGCAGCTAGCATTTCCATCATCTCATGTATTTATCATTTTTTTGTGGTGAGAACATTCACAAGCCTCTCTTCTAGATATTTTGTATTATACAATACATTATTGTTAACCATAGTCACCCTATTGTGCAACAGAACACTAGAACTTATTCCTTCTATCTCATTGTAACTTGTACCTGTTGACCTACCTCTCCCCATCTTTCCTTCCCCCCACCCCTCCCCACTTAGTCTCTGGTAATTACTGTTCCACTACCTGCTTCTACAATATCAACTTTTGTATTTGTTTTTCTGTGTTTGACTTATTTCACATAAAATTATATCCTCCAGGTTCATCCATGTTGTCCAAATGACAGGGTTTCATTTTCTTTTATGGCTGAAAAGTATTTTATTGTGTATATTTACCACATTTTCTTTATGTGTTTATCCATTGTTGGACACTAATTTGATTCCATATATGAGCTATTGTAAATAATGCTGCAATAAACATGGGAGTGCAGATACATTTTCAACATGTATATTTCTGTTGGATATATCCCTAGTAGGGGGATTGCTGGGTAATAGGGTAGTTTTGTTTTTAATATTTTGAGGAAATTTCCTACTGTGTTTCATAATTGCTGCACTAATTTACAATCCCAAAAACCATGTGTAAGCGTTCCCTTTTCTCCACATCCTTGCCAATAGTTTTCTTTTGTCTTTTTTGATAATAGCCATTCTAACTAGAGTGAGGTGGTATTTTGTTGTGGTTTTCACTTGTATTTAGCATAAATGATTAATGACATTAAGCATTTTTTTCATATATCTGTTGGCCATTTGTTTGTCTTCAAAGTCTGCTAAGGTCTTCTGCCCACTTTTAAATTGGATTATTATTATTATTATTATTATTATTATTATTTTTGCATTGAGTTCCCTTTATATACCGGATATTAACCCCTTGTCACATGTATAGTTTACATATATTTTCTCCTATCCTGTAGGTTTTATTTTCACTCTTGTTTCATTCACTGTATGAAAGCTTTTTCATTTGATGTAATCCCGTTTGTCTATTTTTGCTTTTGTTGCCTGTGCTTTTGAGGTCTTACTTAAAAAATTTTCACCCAGCCCAATGTCGTGAAGTGTTTCTCCTATAAAAATTATGCTGTGAAGCATTTCTTCCAGTAGTTTTATAGTTTCAGGTAATATTTATTGATTGAATGAGTACGGTCAGTTTTGCTACAACAGTTGTTTCGAAAACCCTAATTTGTTCCAACTCCATTGATAGATTAGGAAACAATTTGAGCATAATGTAAATTTTGTGTTAACTCATATGCAATTTCATCTGTGAGAAACACTAGATATTTCAGCTGAACTGAGCTATGTGGGAATACGCAATATATACATACACATACCTCATGAGATCAATAAGCCATACCTATTCATACCTGGCATTACAATTTTCCATCAGATACCCCTCCTTCAAACATGTTGTGGACTAAATTGTTTCCCCCTAAAATTCATATGTTGAAGTCCTCACCCCTAATATAACTGTATTTGGAGATGTGGGCATTAAGGAGATAATTAAGGTTAAATGAAGTCAGAAGGATGAGTCCCTAATCCATTAGGACTGGTCCTTAAAAACAAAGGAAGAGACACTGGAGCTCTCTTTCCCCTCATGCACAGAAAAACAGTAAGTGAGGAGAAAGCAACAAGGCAACCCTCTGTAAGCCGGCAAAAGAGCCCTCAATAGGAACTGAATCTGCTGGCACTTTGATCTGGGACTTCCAGCTTCCAGAACTGAAAAAATAAATTTGTTGTTTAACCCACCTAGTCTGTGGTATTTTGTTATGGCAGCCTGGGAAGGCTAATACAAACCACTTGACAATACCTCACAAGCCACAACCCTTTCTATTGCTACCCTACTCATGCAGCGCAGCATGCATCCTCCTATTTTTGTCCCTCTTTTTAAGCTTTTTTGAATTTTTCCTCTCTGTTCTCTTTTCTTTTTCTCTTTATCTTTCCTTTATGGTAGAAGCTTTTTTTCTCAGTTTATTTCTTCTCTTCTTCTTTTACACAGAACACACTAGAAACTTAAGTACAAGCAAACTTCAGACCCCTTTAAAGGTAAGATGCTCTATTTATTATAGTATTTGTATATTTCTTAAACTTTTAACATGTTTAAGACTATGTGTACTTTTTATTGGGCCCTTATCCTTTTTTCCATGTCTCTGAAGAAGGTTTGTTTGTTTGTTTTTTGAAACGTAGTCTGGCTCTGTCGCCCAGGCTGGAGTGCAGTGGCACGATCTTGGCTCACTGCAAGCTCCGCCTCCCGGGTTCACACCATTCCCCTGCCTCAGCCTCCCGAGTAGCTGAGACTACAGGCACCCGCCACCACGCCCCTAATTTTTTTGTATTTTTAGTAGAGACGGGGTTTCACCGTGTTAGCCAGGATGGTCTTGATCTCCTGACCTCGTGCTGGGATTACAGGCGTGAGCCACTGCGCCCGGCCAGGTTTGTTTTTAATTTTATTTATTTATTTACTTTTATTTTACTTTAAGTTCCAGGATACATGTGCAGAACATGTTTGTTTACATAGGCTTGTTACATAGGTATATGTGTGCCATGGTGGTTCACTGCACCTGTCAACCCATCATCTGGGTTTTAAGTTCTGCATGCATTAGCTATTTGTCCTACTGCTCTCCCTCCCCTCGCCCCCTAATGCCCAACTAGCCCCAGTGTGTGTCCTTCCCCTCTGTATGTCCATGTGTTCCCATTGTTTAATGCCCACTTACGAGTGAGAAATTGCAGTGTTTGGTTTTCTGCTCCTGCATTAGTTTGCTGAGAATTATGACTTTCAGCTTCATCCATGTCCACGCAAAGGACATGATCCCATCCCTTTTAATGGCTGCATAGTATTCCACGGTGTATATATACCACATTTTCTTTATCTAGTATAGTATTGATGGGCATTTGGGTTGGTTCTGTTTTTGCTATTGTAAATAGTGCTGCCTCATGAAGTTTTTGAGTATTAATCCCTTAACCCTGTTTTCTTATGAGTCCTGTGGTTTTTATTCCACAATTTTGCATATTGCAGTGATTTTTTTAGAAATACCTGTTGAGCTATAAGAGAAATGACTGGTTTTTACCCTCACAAAAACTTAGCAAGTTAGAAAAATGTATCCTTATTTTACAGATGAAGCAGAAGATCGAAGCATTTGGTATAAGCCACAATGTGTTCTTTACTGTGCCAAATATACTTTTGTCTTGAATCTTCTGACATTAACTTTTATTTTTTAATGTTGGTAACCAGCTTTAATCTAATCAACTTCTAAAAAATCGTATTTTGTAGTATATTTATCTTGGCACAAGGAAATGAGGACATGGCCTAGATAATTTAGGTCCAAAGTCAACCATTAACCATATAATCTAGATTAAAATTTTAAATAGTATTGAGAGGGGACAGTGTGCTGGCAGCCCTCACAGCCCTCGCTCACTCTCCGCACCTCTTCAGCCTTGGCGCCCACACTGGTCGTGCTTGAGGAGCCCTTCAGCCTGCAGCTGCACTGTGGGAGCCCCTTTCTGGGCTGGCCAAGGCTGGAGCCGGCTCCCTCAGCTTGCAGCAAGGTGTGGAGGGAGAGGCGCGGGCGGGAACTGGGGCTGCCCACGGTGCTTGCGGGCCAGCGCAAGTTCCAGGTGGGCGTGGGCTTGGTGGGCCCCCGCACTCCGAGTGGGAAGGCCAACCCTGCAGGCCCTGGGCAGTGAGGGGCTTAGCACCTGGGCCAGCAGCTTCTGTGCTCGACTTCCCGCTGGGCCTTAGCTGCCGCCCTGCCAGGCAGGGCTTGGGACCTGCAGCCTGCCATGCGTGAGCCTCCCCCATGCCGTGGGCTCCTGCGCAGCCTGAGCCTCCCCAAGGAGCGCCGCCCCCTGTTCCACGGTGCACAGTCCCATCGACCACCAAACAACTGAGAAGCATAGGCACACGGGCGGGACTGGCAGGCAGCTCCACCTGCTGCCCCAGTGCGGGAGCCACTGGGTGAAGCCAGCTGGGCTCCTGAGTCTGGTGGAGACTTGGAGAACCTTTATGTCTAGCTAAGAGATTGTAAACACACCAATCAGCACCCTGTGTCTAGCTCAGGGTTTGTGAATGCACCAATCGACACTCTGTATCTAGCTACTCTGGTGGGGACTTGGAGAACCTTTATGTCTAGCTAAGGGATTGTAAGTACACCAATCAGCACTCTGTATCTAGCTCAAGGTTTGTAAACACACCAATCAGCACCCTGTGTCTAGCTCAGGGTTTGTGAATGCACCAATCGACACTCTGTATCTAGCTACTGTAGTGGGGACGTGGAGAACTTCTGTGTCTAGCTCAGGGATTGTAAACGCACCAATCAGCACCCTGTCAAAATGGACCAATCAGCTCTCTGTAAAACAGACCAATCGGCTCTCTGTAAAATGGACCAATCAGCAGGATGTGGGTGGGGGCCAGATAAGGGAATAAAAGCAGGTTGCCCGAGCCAGCAGTGACAACCCACTTGGGTCCCATTCCACAGTGTGGGAGCTTTGTTCTTTTGGTATTTACAATAAATCCTCCTGCTGCTCAGTCTTTGGGTCGACTTTGCATTTATGAGCTGACACACTCACCACGAAGGTCTGCTTTTTCACTCCTGATCCAACGAGACTACGAACCCACCAGGAGAAAGAAACTCTGAGCACATCCCAACGTCAGAAGGAACAAACTCTGGACACGCCGCTTTTAAGAACTGTAACACTCACTGCGAGGGTCCGCGGCTTCATTCTTGAAGTCAGTGAGACCAAGAACCCTCCAATTCCGGACACAGTATGTCCTCCTTACTATGCTCAATTGACTGAGTTGACAATTGCTTGACGCATGCTTCATTTTATCTTGTGGGTCATATATACATTATTAAATAATATCAGTTTCAAATTAGACTCAGCAGCAATTAAAAATTATATTAACATAACCATTTTAAATATAATTTCAAGAAGCCATGCATTTTGTTGACAGCTAGTATTTACCATACTATTTGCAGGTATATAAAAATGACTAGAGAAGTCTTATTCTTTCTCTGGTTGTTCCATGTGTTTTATATTATTGGTTGTGTAAGTTCTCTAAAGCTGGGAGCCATTTGTGTTTAGTGCTCTATAAAGGAAGGAACTGAGACCGGCAATAGAAATTTATTCTTCAACTTAGCTCTGCCACAAATTAACTGGAAGAGCTTGGACATCTTATTGGGGTTTGACCTGATAAATTGTAAAGTTTCTCAGCAATGAGATCTGGGTTTTCGGCTGCTTCCCCTCTAACTCGGTTTCCGAATTGGATATGTTTAGGACTGAACTGTCTGTTCAGACTGTAAATGTTATCATGTAGAACTCTGTTCTTTCACCATAATTCCCCAGGCCTCTGTAAACTCCTTTTAGAAAGAAAGGTGTATAGATATGAATAAGAGAAAGTCTTCTCTTAGAACACACAGTCAAACATGCTGGTGTAAGGTCTTTTAACATCATTCCACTCTGGGGTAGAAAGAATAAATGAGATTATTTTACCTTAGAGGTAATCAAAAACATTAAACTCTCCTATGAGGTTTAAATCTTACCTTCAGCTTGACTCTCCCAAGATAGAGCATACTCCCACCAATCTCTGATACAGAAGCTCACTTCTTTCCTAAGACTTTTATTCTTTCTCAGAATAAATTCTTTTCAAATGAAAAGAGAGAGAAGGAAAAAAACCAAACAATTGTAAACACAAACTTGACAACAAACCAAGACAAAGATAGAAATGTATACACAAAGACGTAAGAAGTTGGAATAAATTGCTGCTAAGGCAGTATCCAAATATAAGGTTTTATAAAATACATAAACTTACTCATTAGTTTTAACCATGTTGGCTGACCAGCTGCTAAATTAATTATAAATTAAGACATTTGATTAAAAGCCCACTAAAGTGGGAAACGATGGTAATAGCCCTTATAATAACTGACCTTAAGGTGCGCTTAAATATTTCCACAATAAGCCACACATTCAGTAGTAAGGCGCTCATTCAAAAAGCATATGATCTTGTGTCTATCAGGTTTGTTAAGACTATTTTCCACGTATCTTGAGTAGAAGAAATGAGAACACTATTGTCAACAGCAACAAAATGAGCAGACTGCTGAATGCCACGAAAGATGGTTTGTTTTGTCTTCAAAATACAATTGAGGGCAAAAGAAAGGGCACTTGAGAAATGACATGCATATTTTTAGCAGAAGTTATGACCACTCATATGATTTAACAGAAAATATGTCACATCTACATAATAGCTTCATACTTGCTATTGGGCTAATTGAACTATGTACTTTTGATGCATTCCCTATTCATCTTAAAGTGTGGGTAACAGATGATGGAAGTCAACAGTCACGGCAGTTGGACACACTGGATATCTTTCTTCTATGACTCTGAGTCAGTCTTCTCAGTGGATTACTAAACACATTCCAGAAATCTCGTAAGTTACTACTGGAGAGTAGTTTAAAATGGTTTAAAATGGATATAATTAAATATGAGTAAACCTACCGCAGAGCTTGATGTCATCTTTAGGCTAATTAACACAAACTATTTACAACAGACTTTTATAAAGATTGCTTATATGTTACTACAAGTTCATAGACCTTCCCATCACAGAAGTAACCACCTCCCCAACATATTCATACAGAGAAAGGAGATATCTGCATTGTAACTGGTCTAGGTAAGGTAGATCTAGTAACTGTGGTTGTAAACTTTAACCAGAGCCAGCCTAAGATCTGGGAATCTTTAATGAATTTCATTATTGTAAAGGTTTACCAGTAGATACCTGTGGGTTTAGAAGTACTGTGATTTGGAGCAATAACTTCCAATATTTAAGATCTGATTGCCTCAACTAGGTTGTTTTTAAAAATTGCAGTGTTACCAGCTGCTCTCCATGGTGAGGGAAGAGAGATTATTCATTCCCCAAATTGTCTTTCATTTCAGGTCTGATAGACTGTTACTAAATTCTTAAAAATAAGGCTCCTTTTCTTGCTGCCTCCTAAGTTGCTCTTAACTCAGACACTAATTTTCTGTATAAGACTTTCCATGCAATGTGAACTAAATAGAAGACCTATGAAAGGATAAGACATTTCTGGATAATTTGTTCTATCTTTGCATTCATATTCAATGCCAGGTACTGTACTGAGTGCTTTCATCTTCTCTCTTCAATTCTCATGACAATGGCATGTGTATGAGTAATTTCCTCTCTTTTAGGTTGAAGAGACGGAGGTTGAATAATTGTATAAATTCCCATGGTTCACAAGGCAAAGCTCAGAATCAATTATTCTCTTCTGTCTTTTAGTTCAGTGTTAGAAGAACGGTTATTAATCACTAAGTTTTAGTTTATACAGTATGTTCATCTTTGATATGTACATTCATAGTATATTACATGGTTCAAAACCTAAATTTTTCCTCCTCTATTGAGACAGATATGAGGGTGCTCCAGGTTTAGAAAAGAAGAGCAAATGGTCAGATGTAAGTTTGGTTCACTGAGCCAAAACAAGAAAAGTGTATGAATTTATGTGCTGGTATAAATGAATGTTGCACCAAGCACTGAGGAATTACTTGACCAAATGAGAGGTTGGTTACGGAATTCAGACATTGAGTTGACTGCTTTAGTCACTCTATACTTCTAGAGGTGCCCGCTGATCTTTGGCATTTTTAATCCTTCTTACTTGTCCATTCTGATCTTTGAAAAATAACACAGAATTTTTTCCCTTAGTTACACATAGAGTTATGTCTGATGTACTTCCATATTAGGGATTGAAATCAACTTTGATGATCTTTTTCTTTCTTGACATCAGAGATTCAGAAAACAAATTGCAGAAATCAGTTGTCAGTAAACCCAGGTTCCAAATTCTGTCATCGAGATACCTTAGTGTCATTATAATTTGAGCTGATAATAGTTTAGGAGTGGTTGAGAATATTTCCCTTTTTCTTACCTGTCAAGATTCAGTTGATACATCACAGATCCCTAAAGCTATGTAGGGAACTCTCCCCTTAATTCCATCCACTTCATTTCTAAGCATCTGTAATAGTCACGGCTGGGTTCAGTGAGAGTTCTGCTTGCTAGAAGTGTGAGATCATGCCCTAAGTAATTACAGTGAGCATGCAGTGAAAATATGTGGTGAATATAATGTCAGGAAATCATGCAAATTTTATTATCATCAGTGAAGTGGTGGCTGGTGGAGAACTTGTCAGTATTTGCAACTTGAAGCCTCTAATTACTTTGATTTACATGTAGTACCATTCATAACCTTGCTTCCCTGCTGTTCCTGACAGCACTTTTGCATTTTACAAGAAAGGAATAATGCCATGTAAATAATTTAAAAACAATAAATCATTTAGAGTGGCTTTAAACCAAAACCTAATGCAGTAGCTGGCTGAGTATTTGCTACACTTGACAGGTAGCTGGCATGCAAGAATTCATCTGTGTCTAAGAGGTATTTACTTTTAAATTCAGAAATCCCAAACAGGCAGACTGAAGAAAAATGAGATCTAAGCCTTCTCCATGCCGAATAGTCCATTTCACCTTATTGAGGTGAAATGGGAAACAGGGAAATTAAATTCTACATGGGATAATTCTACTTCAAACACAGATTTGCTGAGTTATGCTAGGTAAATGACTAATTAAGGCTGATTCTGGAGCAGAGCTGGCTGAGTGTTGGAGGAATATACAAACATGCCGGAGGCGCCACCCCCACCCACGCAAGAGCTGAGGGAGAGACTGGAGAGGTTGGGAGCAGGAAGAGAGAACAGGGCCGATATATAACCAGTTTAGGAAAGGCGACACTCATTTCTCTCTGGTCATTTCTAATCACACAAGACAAGGCAGATAATGAAAATGAAAAATCCATTGAAAAACTCCTACTTTCAAAAAAAAGGTAGGATGACTTCCTTTAGCTAGAGGGAGAACCGGGGCTGGCAAGCTGCCTCCGGACAGTTGCGTTCCATGGGTGCCAAGCATGTCATTATCTCTTTTAATCCTCCCAACAATTCTCTGAGGTAGGTATGATTATCCCCTTTTATAGATAAGGACAAAACCTGAGCTAGATTAAGTAATTTGCCTGAGATCACCAGCTAGGAAGTGACTGTAAGGATTAAGTCTGAATCTGTCTGACTCATGCAGCTCTCTCTCTCCATCCCCTGCTTTGCCCTCTCTTCCAACCCGATTTCTTTCTTAACTCAATCTATAAATTCACTTACATCTGTGACATATTTTTAAGATAGTCCTATGAACATTCAGAATGATGGTGTCCCTGGGGTAAAAAGGGATTATAAAATCACCTAGTTGGGCTACATCTGAAACATCCCCTCTTTACCCTCCAGAAAGGCTCTCCTAGTTTATTCTGCCTGAATACGCTCGTGATAGGGCAATAGGCACACATGCAGCGTGTCTGACATAGGTGACAGCTCCATTTCTTCTTCAACATTGCTCCTACCCCCTAGGGTTCTTCTTCCCGAGTTCCCAGGCACCTTATTTCCCTTAGTATGTCCTTCTCTTTCAGGGGAAACCTTGCCAGGTCTGTTAAAATCCAAAAGTGTTTGTTTCTTTCTTCCAAAATACCAACATTCACATATGTATGTCCCTAGAGCAGTGGTTCTCCAACTTTCATCTGCATAAGAACCACCTGAAAGGCTTGTTAAAACACAGATTGCTGTCTTGTGAATTAAAAATTCACAATGTAATGCTTTGGTTCATAGTAGGCATTCAGTAAATGGTAGTTCATTTTTTAGTTCTAAATTTTTAATGATCCACATATTTATTGTCTGTCTGTCTTCCTTTCTTTCTTTCTCTCTTTCTTTTTCCTTCTTTCTTTCTCTCTCTGTCTCTCTCTTTCTCTCTTTCTTTCTTTCTTTTTTTCTGAGACAAAGTCTCACTCTGTCACCCAGGCTGCAGTGCAGTGCCACAATCCTGACTCATTGCAACCTCTGCCTCCTGGGTTCAGTCATTTCTCCTGCCTCAGCCTCCCGAGTAGCTGGGACTACAGGCACGTGCCACCATGCCTGGACAATTTTTGTGTTTTTAGTAGGGACGGAGTTTCACCATTTTGGCCAGGCTGGTCTTGAACTCCTGGCCTCAAGTGACTCGTCTGCCTCAGCCTCCGAAAGTGCTGGGATTACAGGCGTGAGCCACTGCACCCAGCCTGATTCACATATTTTCTTGATTTAAGCTTATCCTGACATTCCCCAGACTTTAGGTTTCAGTTCTCATTTATCAGCAGGAGTTTCCTTGGATTCATGAATTTAGAAGGAAGAAAATTAGGAGAATATTTTACCCATTTATTTATACTGTGTGAAGAAGCAAAATGTAACATACTTGCTACCCAAGTCTACATGGCATGGACAAGAGACATTGTAATGTCACCACAGTGGTGCTACATTTATATCTTTAGAGGATTATTCCTTTCAAACACTATTTGAAATGTTCTGAGGAAAAGAGGGTTATTCTGTAAGAACTAAAAGCAAATGGCAGAGTCTTGCTGGCAAAATCTGCTAGAAGGTTACTCATGCTATTGAGAGACCAGTACATTTGCTAGCCGTGAGTCACTGATGAGAAGGGAAGTAGTCAGGGACTTGGTAGAGTGAATTATCAAAGAATTTTCTCTTCCACAGAAAAAAATCATTATAGAGGAAGGAATCCAGTTGGGTTTTATCAACTGCTAAGGGTTCTTAAAGTGTGATCCCAGGACCAGCAGCAACAGCATTACTTGGGGTCTTAGAAATGCAAATTCTCTGGTCTCACCCCAGATCTTCTGAACTTCGAGCATGCGGCACAGAAATCTGTTTCAGCAATTTCTCCAGTTGATTCTGATGAGCAGGAAAGTTTGAGAACATGGTCTTAGAGCGAGTTTTCTAAATAAAGTAACAAAATGATTAGAAAGTGCATTGACCTAAGATTTGAGCTGTGAGTCTGGTCTACCATCTCTAGCAGAGTCTTTTGTAAGGACAGTTAAAACTAGCAGATGCTCAAGAAGAAAGGTCCCATAGCTCTTCTCTGGAGTGTGGGGATTCTCAGCCCTGATCGTACATTAAAATCATTGGGGCACCTAAAAGGAAATGTTTTTCTGTTTTTTACAATAATAGTAATAACAATAAAATACTTTTCCAGGCTACCTCCTAGCAATTCTTATTCCATTGTCGTAAGGTGGTGCCCCTTGTTTCCGTATTTTTGAATTCTTCAGCTGACTCTAATGTGAAGGTCTGAGTTGTGAGTTACTGTGCTAGAGATTGAGGATGGGAACATGGCGAAACTTAATATTGTGAGAGGAAGTTAGTAATATTTCCTTTAAGCATGATTTAATTACATACTAGATAATAACACCTACCATTTAGCTGAGTTATTAAAGCTCATGTCCCAATGAGGAGACTCTACAGAATGCAAACCACTGTCATTGTTCCTAGTATGAACAGGCTGTTCCTAATATGAAAGGCTGTTATGCAGCCTTTCTAGGGCTCCTGGGCATTAGAAATGTCTACCCTTAAATCAAGCTCACCACCCCCTTTGCAACTATTTTCTGAGGGGAAAATAAAAAAGTTTATGGAAAGAACTTTGGTTTCAGAGTGTGACAATCTGCACTGTGGCACCTGCCTTGCCATTAACAAGCTCCATAATGGCCAGACATGGTGGCTCACACCCATAATCTCAGCACTTTGGGAGGCTGAGGGGGGAGGATTGCTTGAGCTAGGAATTCAAGACTAGCCTGGGCAACATGGCAAGACTCCCATCTCTCTACAAAATTAAAGAAAAAAATTAGCCAGGTATGGTGATGCACACCTGTAGTCCCAGCTACTCAGGAGGCTGAGGTGGGAGGATCACATGAGCCCTGAAGGTTGAGGCTACAGTGAGCCACGTTTGTGCCACTGCACTACAGCCTACATGATGGAGCAAGACCCTGTCTCAAAAAAAAAAAAAAAAAAACCCAGAAACCAACAAAACAAAACAAAATAAAAAAACAGCTTCACAATAAGTCAAATAACATAAATGTTCTGCACCTGTTTCCTTATCTGTCTTGCTCAATAAGTTTCCTCCCAGCTCAGAAATCACAGCTTTGCTCATAGTTTCGGTTCATGGAAAGTGGCTATTTGTACATTTATGTATTATTAAGAGACCGCATAGTCCATTGCATCATAGCTCTCAATCCCCAAGTCTTAGTCCTTTGGCTTTTTCATTTATTACAGTTAAACTTTTGCTTTTTGGTAAATAAGACAGATGGTCTAAGGGAAATGCAGAAATTGGCAGAATTATGTTCATACTGCGAACTAAGAGACTCCATGTTATCTCATCCAACTGTAAAGTCACAAAGGCCACCAGGAGCAACCCACTAAGTTACCTGTAAAATCAGGTTTTCATGAAAGAAACAGAATTGTCCATAGAAAGTAAGAAGCGTCTCAGGCGGCATTTTTTTTTTTTTACACTACTGCTAGATGTGCTTCCATTTGATTTTGTGATTCTTTCTTATTATGAAGCCAATTTATAAACTTAAGACTGAGAAGGGATTGGATGCAGCACATTCCTTTCCTCTCACAAATGATGGTTGAGACAGTATGTGATTCTGAAAGGTACCATATGAAGCGTACGTATCACACAATTATTATGCTCCACCCATCATGGTTGGTTTCAACTGCTGGGTTTGGAAATCATGCAAGGATCGGATTCTAAATGGAGTACTTAGGCAGGAGATAGATACGGCCTCTGTCTTTATTACCTTGTACTTTATCCTTCTTACATTTAATGTTGTAAATATTCCTTCTGCTGTACCCTAAAAGATATTTTTCTTTTATCATATCTCTCTCTCCTTCGTTTCTTTCTTCTGTCTCTCCTACTCTAATGTATCTTCAACTATTAAGCCAGAAGATCTCATTTGAAAGTTTCATGTAGGCTTATTTTTGTTGAGGCACAGGTAAATCAATAAATGCCAATTTTTATTTACATGATTTTGACAAACTTTGATTCACATGTGTATACACACACACACACACACACACACACACACACATATTTGCTTCCTCCTTAGCAAAACCATCTTCCCTTTAACCAAAGCATGGCCTTGGAGGTAGTCACATGACCGAGTACTAGAGGATGAACCAGGAAGTATTGGACCAGAGGAAATAAGACTTCTGCTAGATAAAGATGCACAATACCTTCTAATTAGCATGACAACTGATTGTTACCAGGGAACATGGACATTTATTTAATTTCATTTAATTTCAACAAAAATTCTTTATGTAATTAGCAAATGGGACTTAAAATGGTATTTTAATTCAGTAAGTAGAGCCTACATTATACCTCTCTTATTTGGATCTATGTAGTTTGTAAGGAATCGTTTTTGGTTATAACAGCCATTTAAAACAATATATTGAAACATACTGAATTTAGAAACAGCTTTCAATAGTTATACTACAAATTGTTAGACCAAATCTTTTAAAAAAATAAAACATCCAATCATATTGGTCTCAATAAAATATTAATAGCATTAGAGAGCAAAATTATATCAACTATTGATAAGTAGCAATTATTTAAAGTATGGAAATTGAATTTTACCCCATCTTTTTCAGTTTCCATCTCATGTGTATTTATTACACACATGCTATATATAACATGTATTATATATATAATATATTGACATTTTATATTCATATAGGAGGACCACTTTTCTAGAGGACAATCTATAACAGAAAATTGGTAATGAAGAAATATCCTAAGTGGATGAATGAAGGTAGTGGAACTACTCACAAACAGAGGCAGCTGCAGTCCTTTTATGAAAACTAAACAACCAAACCAAAAACTAAGGAACAAAAACTCCTGTTGAGGGCTTAGTAAGAAGGATATTGCTTTAATTCTGCAAGAGAGATACAAACTATATATCAAGACATGTTCTCCAACTATGAGTTGTGGAGTATTTCAAATACATAAAAGTTTGTCAAGTAGAGTTACTTTGGTGACATAATTTGTGTGGCAGCTAAGAGGCTTGGGGAATTGGATGCCTAAGAGACTTCTCACAATCTCCTTTATGTTCACTAAATATTTTATTATATTTAGTCATATCTCCTGTATTCTATCATATCTGGATGTAAACAACAAAAATTTGGGGTGAGAGAAGTTTCAAGCTAAAAAAAGATGGATGGATTAATAGTGAGATAGATGGGTAGGTGAATGGATGAGGACTATTTTAGCACATACAACTCTAGTCCCAAGTCTCTGTATCCTTTTAAATCAACTTTATTAGTAAAAAATTGTTTGAGCCCACGACCTGAGTTTTTTATATTCATTTAAAAGTTATATATAAGTACCACTGTATCAATACATAATTATCAGCAATACATACAAAAAAAGTGTAAAATATTTTATACTGGTTTATAGCATACCTGATGGGGCATTTTTCTTGCAATAGTCAACATTTTAATCTACTTTATCTTCTATCGTTCATCAGGAGATGTAATTCTTGTTCACTGACACTTTTTGAGATCCTACTATATTCTAAGTACTGTGTTAAGCTGTCTAGGTGATTGTCGTAGTCATAGGAATTGTCGTATCTCGTCTACTGTGTGCTTAGTACCTCTGAAAAGGACGCAGCCTACACATAATAGCAGCTATTAATGTGGATATATGGTTCAGTGCGGACTATGGTTGTCATCTTTTTATCTTCCATCCAGAGAGTACTGCCTTCTTGGAAGTAAAGGAGGTAATAAACTGAATGCTAAGGTAGAGAAGTTTAAAAATCGTATATACACAAATATGTGTGTATATTTTATACACTAAATCTAAAGTATTTCATTAATATCAATAGTAAGCATTATAAATGAATGTTATAAATGAGGAATTTATAGTATATTCCTATTAGGTCTCAATTATAATTAAAATTAATGTGTATAATACATGTAAATTATTAGTGTATATTTTTAGGTAAGTAGGCTAAGGACAGGAGCAAAATTCAAAGTCCATTTGAGAACTTACTATGTTCCAAGTACTGTGATAAATTTTTCTATGTGCATTTTCTCATTTAACTCTCTAAAACACCTGATAAGCTAGGTACATCTATTACTCCCAGTTTATAAATAAGAGAACAGGCTTAGGAGAGATTTTGTAATTTTCCCAGTATGATATAGCCACAGAAGGGCAGATACAAGATTTAAATCTACATCATCCTGGTGAATACCTAAGGCTCTGGGATCAAGTCTAGATTGATTTTCCTTCCTCTTTACTAATATGGTTGCTTCAGTGCTTCATTGAGATTAAAATCAACAGGATTTAAATACCATTTATAGGGGCATGTTCAGATAAGTCACTTGTAAATAAACATTCTTGTGGTTTGCTTTATTATGAATTAATGATAACTTAGGCTATCAACTCTGCCAAATTTTAATGTACATTTGATAACTGTTTTTATAACAGTTAAAGCTTGACTTGAAAAAAATGTATGAGTAGGTAATTGCTAAAAATATGAAATACAACCTGCCAGGCTAGGAGACTAATTGCTTCAAGCTTCCTTGTGAGTACATATATTTCCTTTATAGAAGCACATAATGCAAAATATCTAAGAACAGAGCTGACGCTGTATTACAGATTAATCTTCTCCTTCTGGTGAAAGAGTTTAACAATACTGTAAGTGTAGCGTCTTTGTCTCTTTTAATCTCTCAGTCTCTTTCTTTGTCAGTGTTTCTGTCTCCTGATGTATTAAACCTCTTAAAAGAGACAATACTTTTGTGGAAAAACTTCAAGGTCATACTCCTTGTAACATGTCCTGAGTTCTGGAGGTCACAGCCTGGGATCAAGAGGTTGTCGCCAAACTCAGTCCCCTCTGTGGTAAAACACTAACCTATCAGCTGAACTATTGAATTGGTGCCTCAGAAACATAATTCTAACAAATACAACCATATGTGGATAATACATGGATTTTGGACAGAAACAGACTTGCTAAAAGTTTCGTAGTGTTCCCAGAACCAGTTATATAATTATTGACTAATTTTTATTACTTTGGTATCAGCTTTGTGCCAAATGTGGGCAGTTTTTATTTTTTAACCCAATCTGTAGCAAAGTGATTGCAGAAGCAGATTTCTATGTAGAAGGGAGAAAGTAGCCATACATGGTAAGTATTTACATTTTATGATGTGGGGGATACCTACATTAATAATTTAATTTGCCTTTTGCAGACAGATGTTCTGTTGTGTTATTGATATTGCTGCAAACTTATTGCCACTTACTCTCAGTGATGAGACTAACAGTTTTCTATACTTTTGATTGCTATGTAAAATCATGTTATAGAGAAACTTGTCTAATTTTATGGAAGCAAAGACTACTGGTCCTGTGATTGGTTAGGTAATATAATCTTCTCAGAATAAATAGTAACAACAGCTTTATTTTAGCAGGAAAGTAAGAGTTTTACTATGTAGAAGTATAGTAGTCAAAGGAAACAATTGTCCAAACAATTTATTTTAAAGAACAGAAAACAAAAAGAAGAAAAAATGTTTTATTAGAGATAATCATATACATCATGCACTTCATAGCAACGTTTCAGACAATGATGGATCACATATACAATGGTGGCCCCATAAGATTATAATACAATATTTGTACTAAACTTTTTTAATGTTTAGATATGTTTAGATACAAAAATACTTACCATTGTGTTACAATTGCCTACAGTATTCAGTACAGTAACATGTACAGGTTTGTAGCCTAGGAGCAATAGGCTATACCATAGAGTCTAGGTGTGTAGGAGGCTATACTATCTAGGTTTGTGTAAGTACACTCTATGATGTTTGCTCAATGACAAAACCACCTAACAATGCATTTCTCAAAATGTATCCTTGTCATTAAGCAACATATGACTGTATTAGTGAAAACTAGATTTTCACCAGATGACAAATCCAGATAACTAAGTTCTTACATCTGAATATAGTACCTGCAACTGTTTGACTTAAGGCCAAAACATTTTAAATAATTATTTTAAAAAAGCATTATTAAGAAATAAAACTATCTCTATTTGAGATGACATAGTTTTCTATATATATATATATAGAAAATTCTAAATAATCCACTAAAAATCTGTGACTAACAACCTCAGCTAGATCATGACATACAAATCAATATGTAAAAATCAATAATATTTCCACATTTGCAATAAACAGTCCAAAAATGAAATAGAGTAAACAATTTCATTTACAATAACCTCAAAAGGAATAAAATTCTTAGTAAACAATTTCATTTACAATAACCTCAGAAAGAATAAAATTCTGAGGAATAAATTTAACAAAAGAAGTGTGACACTAATACTCTGAAAACTATAGAACATTATTGAAAGCAATTAAAAATCTAAGTACATAGAAATATATTCTGTATTCATGGATTGGAAGACTTAATATTGTTAAGATGGCACTATTCCCCAAATTGATTTATAGATTCAACGCAATCCCTATCGTAATCCCAGCTGGCTTCTTTGTGGATCCTACAATGCATACGGAAACTCAAAGGACCTAGAATAGCCAAAGTAATTTTAAAAAAGAAGAAAGTGGGAGGAGTTGCACTTTCCAATTTCAAAATTTACTATGAAGCAATAGTAATCAAGACAATATTGGCGTAAGAATATGCATGTAGATCCATAGAATAGCATCGAGAGTCCAGAAATAAACCCATATATTTGTGGTCAATTGATTTTCACTGAGGGTGCTAAGACCATTCAATGAGGAAAGAAGAGTTTGTTCAATAAATTGTGCTGAGACAACCGGATAGTCACAGGAAAAAGAATAAAGTTGGACTACTACCTCATACCCCATATGAAAATCAACTTGAAGTGCATCAAATAATTAAATATGAATGCTAAAACTATAAAACTCTTAGAAGAAAACATAAGGATAAATTTTCATGACCTTGGATTTGGCAATGGTTTTCTAGATGCATTACAAAAGTATGAACATCAAAAGAAAAAAGATACATTAATTGGATTATCAAAATTAAAACCCTTTGTGCTTCAAATGTTATTATCAAAAAAGTGAAAAGACAACCCTCAGAATGACAGAAATTATTTGCAAAACATATCTGATAGGGAGATCATATCAAGAATATGGAAATAACTTGTACAATTCAATAATAAAAAGACAACCCAGTTGAAAAATGGTTAAAGAATATGAAGGGACATTTTTTCAACAAAGATACACAAATGGCCAAAAGGCACATGAAGAAATGTTTAATATTTTTAGTCATCAGGAAAATGCAAATCAAAACCACGATGAGATGCCGCTTCACATTCACTTGGTTGGTTATAATCAAAAGTCTGAGAATAACAAGTGTTAACAAGATGTGAAAATGTTGGAACCCTTCTAAACTGCTGGTAGGAATATAAAATAGTGCAACTAGTTTGGAAAGCAGTGTGGTGGTTCCTCAAAAATGTATACATGGAGCTATCATTTGACCCGTCAGTTACACTCCTAGGTATATACCCAAGAAAAATGAAAACATATGTCCACGCAAAAATGTGTACATTGATATTATAGCAGCATTATTCATAATAGCCAAGAGATGGAATCAACCCAAATGATTATCAGCTGATGAATGGATAAACAAAATGTGGTATATCTATATAATGGGACATTTTCAACCAGTAATAGGTATGAAGTACGGATACTTGCTACAAGTTGGTTAAAATATTATATTAAGAGAAACAATTCAGTCCAAAAAAACACATGTTACATGATTCTATTTATATAAAATGTTCAAGATAGGAAAATCTGTAGAGATGGAATGTAGATTTGTGGTTGCCTGGGGCTGGGGGTGGGAGTTCGGGTGTTTTGGGAGGTGAAAACTGGAGTACAGGGTTTCTTTGGGGGATGCTAAAATGTTCTAAAACTGATTATGTTAATTGGGTGGACAACTCTGTGAATGTACTAAAAACTATTGAATTATAGACTGTAAATTTGCGAATTGTGTGGTATTGTGAGTTATATTTCAATGAAGCTTTTGCCAAAAACAGTATTACTTCTGAGGCAACAGTTATACAATTTTGGTATTAAGTATTCAGCCCTCTCCACATGGGTTTTTCAGTTTTATGTGTGCAAAATAACCTTAAATTTTTAGGCTGGTTTTTTTTTTTTTTTTTGAAAAGGACTTTATTTGGTATGGATGAGCAAATGTCCAGTGCACTTCCAAAATAGATTCATTTAAACTTGGTTTGTGACTTATTAGCATTGTGAAGTTAATGGTTGAAAAGGTCAAGAGATATGAAATAGGAGAACAAATTCTTTAGACATTTTTCCTTTTAAAACAGGTGCACCCTATCCTGAGAAACAGTTGGTGTAACCCCATATCCATTTTTGTTGTTGTTGACATCTCAGCAGAAAATACTATTTTCAGAAAGTATTATTTTACCTATGAGTTATACATTTACAACATATCATTCTTACCCAGCTATGAAAATGATCTTAGGGCACTGCACCAGAATCCTGAATTGCTGCTGTAAGAGCCGATTCTGTTTGCTTCTTGTCTCTCTTTTGCCTGTGCATCTTTCTACTTAATAAATTTGAAAAGTGTATTAGTCACAGTGGTTTTGGATTCTGCTTTCCTAAAGCTCTGCTCTAAGTGAGCTGTTGCACTTCTAAACTAAAATTTCCCTGTTCTTTGCCATCTTTCACCCTGTGCTTTTCCAGACCTAAAATGTCAAAGTATCAAGCAGATGAAATTAAGTTTGGAACATAGGTTTGGTAGGAAATGACTCCATGCTTTCAGCAGATCTGTAGTTTCATTATTTTTTTTTTTTTTAAAAAAAACAAGGGACTGTTAATAAAAGATTCACTGAATCCAGTCATTTGTCTCAATTAACTACTGTATTTACATAAAATACTTGATGCTGTAAAATAAAAGCAGTGCAGGCTATTTGCTGAGATACCTGGACAGTTACAGTAGACTAGATTTTTGCTTAATAATTATTTAGAGGAGAGGGGTTTTAGGTACACTTGGATATACTTGAATATCTTTGTGTGTGTGTGTGTGTGTGTGTGTGTGTGTGTGTGTGTGCATTTGGACTAAAGTGGCTAAAACACTTCTTCTGACCCCATTTGGCAGAAGGTAAAAACGACTTTCTGTTTGCAAGGATCTTGTGCCCATGGAGCATCAGGCAAGGACATTCTGTTATGCTTCTTAAAAGAACTGGCACTACAGATCCCTTAACCAGAAGTGCACAGAGTCATATTTTTGTGATTGACAGTACGTTCTTTATTGCCTTTATTTTTGTTTTCCCTCCTCTCTTCATGTATTGTATTGTGGACCTACATGACTCAGATTATGTCTTACTTACTGTGTTGCTGAATATGGCTAGAGGAAATGTGAGAATGAGTACTGAAAAAACAACTTACCAGAAATCAGGACTCCTTCTGGCTTCCATCACTGGCTCTGCCACACTCTCTGGCCTTAGATAAAATTCCCTTCACTCAACTGATATTTTAAAACACATACCATGTGCAGGGTACTGTCTATATGTCTAGCCTTATTGAATCTCAGTTTTCTCATCTGTAAAATAAAACATGAAATTTAAGCTGTAAACCTGATTGATTATTCTGCGACAATTCAGAGAGCAGAGGTTAACACATTTGACTGTTAGAGTACCTTCCCCGCCCCACCATCAGAATTTTTACTCATATTTGCAAATTCCATAGTACAATCCTTACTCACTGAGATGTCCCCTGTATCCTTAAGTGGCACTAATAAATACTGGTAAATGTGCTAAACTAAATTGAAAGTCATTTTAAATGAAAATTGTGTTTGTATATACAGCCTTATAGCAAGGTCACCAGTTGAGTTGTGAAACTGAGCAGCTTATGATAGAGTGTCACAATTCTAAAATGGCTGGAAATTTTTTACAATCTGACTATAAGGAATATAAGATACTTTCCTATTCTTGAAAGACTATTAGATTTTATTCCATTAGCTCTTCTATTTTTCTTCTCTCTTTCAAGAAAAAAATGACCAAATGCACATAGAAAATAATGTGGTTGTAGCCCAGTAGTAGTTGGCTAAAGTTCTTAGTTTTGGAGACAAAACTAAGCCATTTTAGAAACTGTCCTTTGGCCCTAGTTATGGATGTTTCAGCCCTGCTCAGGGTCAATATGCTTCCTCACAGTGGGAGATGGAGAGAAGTAGTCCTGCCCCCCTGCCCCACCACTTTTTTTTTTTTTTGAGACAGGTCTCACTCTGTCACTCAGGCTAGAGTGCAGTGGCATAATCACCATTCACTACAGCCTCAACTGTCCAGGCTCAAGTGATCCTCCCACCTCAGCCTCCCAAGTAGCTGAGACTACAGCGTATGCCACTACTACTGGCTAATTTTCTATTTTTATTTTTTTATTATACTTTAAGTTCTAGGGTACATGTGCACAACATGCAGGTTTGTTACATATGTATACATGTGCCATGTTGGTGTGCTGCACCCATTTACTTGTCATTTACATTAGGTATATCTCCTAATGCTATCCCTCCCCCCTCCCCCCACCCCACTTCAGGCCCCGATGTGTGATGTTCCCCACCCTGTGTCCAGGTGTTCTCATTGTTCAATTCCCACCTATGAGTGAGAACATGCGGTGTTTGGTTTTCTGTCCTTGCGATAGTTTGCTCAGAATGATGGTTTCCAGCTTCATCCATGTCCCTGTAAAGGACATGAAATCATCCTTTTTATGGCTGCATAGTGTTCCATGGTGTATATGTGCCTCATTTTCTTAATCCAGTCTACCATTGTTGGACATTTGGGTTGGTTCCAAGTCTTTGCTATTGTGAATAGTGACTCCTGGCTAATTTAAAAAATTTACTTTAGAATGGAGATGGTGGAGGTGGTCTCACTATGTTGCCCAGGCTGGTCTTGAACTCCTGGGCTCAACCAATCCTCCAACCTCAGCCTCCCAAAGTGCTGCATTACAAGCGTGAGCCACCACACCCGGCCATCCTTCTATTCTTCTCATTTCTCCCTACCCCAAATCAACATGGATAGGTCTCCATTTGTTCTAAGAAGTGCTGTGCTGTTGTAATTAGCTTAATTAATCAAATGTATCTTTGATGATCCATTTATTAATTCATTTTTTTTTCTTCTAGACAGCAAAGGACTGAATTTTGTTAAAACCCACCCTTGCTCAGAGGGCATTTATAAAGAAAACAACCTCCACAATGAAACAAAAATTCAGGGGAGATGCGGTGTGAGGTCTGCTCCAGGCCGTGGTGGGTGCTCTTTGGCTTCTCTCCTCTGCTGGGCCTGTGGCCACATGTCCCCCCGCCCACCACCGCCACTGCCCCCATGCCCATGAAGGGCCGCTCCCCCATCGCCACACCCTGCAGTACCTGAGCCAGGGGGAGGTGGTGTTCAAAGACTTGGCGAAGGTCATGACAGTGAATTACAAAACACATGGGGAGCTGGGTGAGGGCACCAGGAAATTTGCGTTTTCAACATATCTTAGATCCAATACAAAATCCCATGAGTGCAGATCATGATGTTTAAGGACAGGATGCCATCATCCTTCCTGTCTCCACACCCACCAATACTTAGATTCTGGGAAGCAAGTCCCGTTGGATGTGGAGACCAAGAATAATAAGGAGGTCATTGAGTCCATCGAAAAATGTTGGGGAAGAATGAGGAAACCCCCAAGAAAGAGGAGAAGGAGAAAAAGCAGCTGTCTCACCCAGCCCCCTTTGGCCGTGGAAAGTACTGCCTGAAGGATTGTACCTGCAAAGTGGAAGGACAGGTGCCCTGCCTGGGCCTGATACCCAAGGAGATGGGGAAGTGCAGAGCCACTGTGAAAGTCAGTACCCAGGACTAGCACCCAGGGTCATTGTGGGCTGGGGCAATTGTGACTGACCAATAGGGAGACTGGTATGGGGTTACCCTGGCCCCAGTAAGCCCTCGGTTCTGTCCTTGAAAACTCTGGAAATCCTTTTGCAATAAAAGGTTCCCATTTATACACCTGTGTAAAAGGGCTTGGGGAGAGGAACATCTGCAGCCGAGCTGCTAAATGCATATCCTTGCTCCTTGGGTAAATAAAAGGCTTCCCAATCAGTGCAACAAAACAGCAACAACAGCAACAACAACAACCACAACAATTCACAACATCCCAGGTTTTAGGCAGCAGAATCATCTGGTGGGACTCAGTCTTGATACTTTCCTGTATGTGTCTTCTTGGATTTTTCTCATTTTGGTTACAGTTGCCATCACTTCTATTACCATCCCCCTGTGCTTGTACAATCCCTTGCCCTTAGTGAGAAGGCCAACTTCTTAAAATACTTTTTTTTTTCTCTTAAATACTAAAGCAGAGTCAAGGGGATATAAACAGATTACAAGAAACACAAAAATCCTGCTTATCAAGCGCTGTCTGTTCTGCTATCACTATTATTGAAATCTTAAGAAACTTTGAGTTTTCAGTAATCATGTACAAATAATCATTTCAGTAGGAAAAGGTAGGAATAGGGGCTGAAAGTATTCAGATTCAAAATAACAAAGTTATTTTAAGAAGCAACACTAATGATCTTTGGCTGGAATTTCAGGTAGACTGCCAGGGAAGTTTTGGCTGGCAGGCCTGATGCCCTTCAAATCACACCACATTACAGCCTTCACCTGTGGGTGAAGTTGATCCTGCAGGGCACCTTTGGCAGACAGAAGAGAAGCAGTGACTGGATCTTGTTCTCTGTCTGGGGAGACTCAGGCAGGAGTGCCACCCACAGGAAGTTGAGCTAAATGTATTACTCAGAGAAAGATAAAGCAATATAAACAGAAGAAAAATACATCCTCAAGCCAGAAGCAACAGTCAACAACATAGCTAAGAAAGTAGGGTAGAATATGGGGCAGAATAGCAATGTTAGACTGTAAATGGAAGAATGACAAATTTCACCAGTAACACAAATGTCAGAAGCTGGTTGGGATGAAGCATATAGATCAGGTCAATTGGTTCTGGACCAGGCTCCTGAACAGTGATTGGAAGCTGGCAGTTCTCTGATGTCTTGGGTGCAGACCTCATGGATTGAAGAGACCAACATTACTTAGAAAAAAAAGCAGAAAACCTGGTCTTTGTTTTGTGCAGTTCATTTCTCACAGTTAACTTTACTGTTTAACTATGACTTGTAGAAAGCTGTAATGTATTATCACTGTTCTTCAGTACAGAAAGTAAGACAAACAAATAAATGGAAGAATTAGAATTGAACCTTGATTTTCTAAAAACTAGACACACACTGGTATTTGTTGAATATTAGCTTTTCAAAAAGATTGTCTTACTTTTTTCTTCATCAAATCAAAGGATTTAGTAAAGTTTTATTTCTGTTAGTATCCAAAGACCTACATAAAAAGTACATTAGCCCTAAAAAGCTACTAATTAGAATTGATTAACATATGGAGAAACAAATTAGTTATGTAATCATGTATATTATAATGGTTAATAAATTATATAAACCTATATAGTAAGCAAATATTTTATAAACATAAAATTATTCTTCACTCTTGAATAATTATGCAGGTCAATCTTCCAGAAATCAGTGGGAGTTTTACTTTTATTTCTAATTACTTATATTTTTAGTCTGTTTTAAATTAACAGTTAGATTTCCATCTGTGTATCAATAATTAGATACACAAGTTTTAGGTTAATTAGAATGATTGCCAATAGTCACATTGTTTTTGATAGCTTCCATTGTAATAATGCTTCAAGGTGATTACTGGTTCTTTAACTTGTGTAAGAAACTATACTCCTTTTTTTAAATTTTACTTTAAGTTCTGGGATACATGTGCAGAACGTGCAGGTTTGTTACATAGGTATACATGTGCCATGGTGGTTTGCTGCTCCTATCAACCCGTCATCTAGGTTTTAAGCCCCACATGCATTAGGCATTTGTCCTAATGCTCTCACTCCCCTTGCCCCCAACCCCTCGATAGGCCCCGGTATGTGATGTTCCCCTCCCTGTGTCCACGTGAAGAAACGATATTCTTAAACTACATTAAAAACTCAGGAATCGGTTTTATGCTACATGTATACTTTTCCTGGACTATGTATTCCACTGGGAAACATTATGAAAGAACGTGGGAGTATAACTGTTTTGCTCTTCAGGGCAGTTATTATCAAAGCCTCTAAAAGCACTCTGCAATCAATTTTTATTGTCAGTCTTTTACAAAAATCCTCAAAGTCCACTAATTGGCTCGTAAAACTACATAGTAAAAGAAAAGGGGAAAATTAAGCATGGTGCATTACACATGATATCAAAAGTGGAGACCTAATCTATCACTATTAATGCATTTAGTTATTGATAGGCATGCGTCTAGAGTCACATTTTAAAGCTTTGGTCCTTATATTGTCACAGACTCACTGGCAGCCATGGCAGTGGTGTTGCTGCCACCGTCTCCTCTGTCTCGATGTTCTGTCATGGAAATCAGGGATACTAACACTGAGTAACTCTGAGAGAAAACCATTTACAAAGAAATTTGAAATTCTGAGAATAATCAACAATCTTTTTTAACAAAAGTGCTGGCAGTTATATATTGGAATATTTACATGATAGTAGATGTTCTGAGTGGATGTGGAACAGGGGAGGTTTTAGGAGGGCGAGGTAAAAAAAGAATCAGAGGCTGGGAGTGGTGGCTCATGCCTGTAATCCCAGCAATTTGGGAGGCCGAGGGGGTTGGAACACCTGAGGTCAGGAGTTTGAGACCAGCCTGGCCAACATGGCAAAACCCTGTCTCTACTAAAAATACAAAAATTAGTTGGGCATGGTGGCACGTGCCTGTAGTCTCAGCTACTCAGTAGGCTGAGGCAGGAGAATCACTTGAACCTGGGAGGCGGAGGTTGCAGTGAGCCAAGATCATGGCACTGCACTGTAGCCTAGGTGACAGAGCGAGACTCCGTCTCAAAACAAACAAATAATCAGAAAAATAAAAACATTAATGAAATCCTGGCAAAAAAGGCAACAACTGGGCACCCTTTAATATGGTCACACAGTACATATTTGTGTTGTGTCTATTAAATAAGTTTACTTTTAAAGTCCTTTTGTTGAAACACAGTAGGTAGCTGGAATTATCTACTCTTGGTTATTGAAATCAATGTATTTGTGTGTCAAACACATCATTTTGGCAAGTGATAATAGTATCTATTTATAACAACTTTTCATTTTTATTAATACATTCTGAGATATCAGTATATTTACTGTTCAGATTATTTGGCTAGAATTACCCTTAGTTGTGTCTGAACTTTCCTAAAAATAATACCCATCTTATCCGTTTTTGCATTTGAAAATTAAACTGCTGGTGGTACATAAGTTTATTTTCTACAATGACAACAGTTAATGTCCTTCTAAGTTAATATATGAAGGACCTTTTCTATCTCAATAAGTAACATCCTTGGTTCCAAATTAGCCATTTTAATTCCACTGCCACATTGTTTCTTAGAAATCATAACATGTTTTTGGAAAATTTAATTTCACTTATTATGTGACTGGCTGGCCATCCAGGCATATATTCTGGAGGAAGACTTTTAAAATAAAGCCATTCTTAACAGCCAAAATGTAGAAAATAGTCCTATTTTCTAGGTATCTATAGATGAAGGAAAGAGTATCTTCTCATACTGTGTTCTAGGGCCCTATACCTGAAATTGAGTCTTTACAGGAAGATAAAGTCAGCTGCAGCCCTACTAGCTGAACTGAGTGCAGATACAGATTGGTGTAATAACTGTCCAGAAGCTCCTATCCACAGGCTGAAATTTATCCAAGCCAGATATATAAGATAGTCTTATTCAAAAATTATCTTCCTATTTGATGACTAGTATTTCCATTTCCTGTTTATTTCAATTAGCTGCATGTAAAGCAGTTCTTTCTGCAACTGTCGATATTAGATCCTGGAAGGTAATTAATTCCATAATCTAGTTGTCCATATCTTCCATCTGTAAGGTGTATGTGTTGTGTTCTTGCATGTCTGAATGGTGGCTTTGAACTGTATCCTTGCATTTATTTTTGCATCTCTATGGGATTGTGGTGTGTGTGTGCATTGCGTGTGTGTGTGTATGTCTGTATCCTATAATACAGCAACCTGTGGTCTGTTCATGTCAAATCCTTGAAAAGTTTGGAAAAAGAAAATGAAGAAGACAGGTGGGAATAAAAGCTAGTGTAATAGGTAAGAGCTGGGAAGTATATACATATTCAGTATATTTCAGCTATGAATTCACAGATTACTTGAGACTTTATGTTCTTTATGACAATGTGTTGCATTCTGAGGAGATGGGGCATAGTCGCTACAGTGGTGTGATGCTGGGAGAGTGGTTGGGAGCAGAAATGATGATAATGAGCCACTCATCAAGATTTTTATGCCAGAATGGCCAATCGCAATAGAAAACACTCTCAGACTATAGCTGGCCTGTGGTTTCTTCTGACTACTTTCTATAGTTTCCTTGAGGCACTAAGTGCTTTGTTATGGGTATCAGTGGACTCTGAGAAGTCTATTAGAAATAAATGTAGATACAGTTGGTGTTCAGTTTCAACAACATTCTCTGATTTTAAATTCCTTTGGGTAGCCTTTTTAAAAATATCAAATGATTAATTTTATAAAACTTCGTTGTTTATAAGTGTATCTATAATTACAAAATTATATTTTAAACTTTGGGTAGTCTTTTAAAGACTATCAAATGATTGTTATAAAATTGTTTTCGTAATTTTATATATTTGTATTATAAAACTTGCATTTTTTTCATCATTAAATCTTTACTAAGTGGAACCTGGTAGGTTCCAGGTGCTGTTATTGATTCCTAGCATATAGTAGTGATCACTAGGCAGACGTTATCTTTACTACATAGAGTCTGCATTCCAACAAATGAACTTGACCAGTATGTGACTAGTATGACGCAGTGGATCATATAAAGATGTAATGAGGATTGACTTGGTTACTTTGGCCTGGGAGTTTAGTATATGCCCTAAGGTATCTTTGACATCCTGATATCAGAAGGACAAAAAGGAGCCAGCTATTCAAACACTGGGGCAGGGAAGGAGAGATGGCATTCTAGGCCAAGAAAACATGACCAAGCATAATAGATTCTGGGAAGAGAAAGAAAACAGCATGGCCATCAGGTAGAGTGGGATTGAGGTAGCGTGAAGTAAGAGATAAGACCAGAAAAATAGCCAGGGTGAGAAGAAATGTAGGGCTTCATAAGCCAAGGGAATGATTTTGGATTTTATTCTAACTGCAGTGGAAGTCAATGAGGATTTAAACGGGAGAGTGACACGATCTGATATGCATTTTTAAATGAAATTCTCTGGCTACTGTGTGGAGTCTGGATTAAGGAAGGCAGCAAAAGGGAAAGTAAAGAAGCCATTTAGGAGGCTATTATAGTTGTCCAGGCAAAAAAATAGTGGCTGGGTGCATTGAGATGAAATTAGTAAAAATGGAAAGCAGTGAATGGATTTTATATATACATATATATATAGAGAGAAGTTATATATATATATATATATATATATATATATAACTTCAATACATATATATATATATATGTTGAGAAAGCTAAACTAGCTGGTGGATTAGATGTGCAGTGTGAGGCAAAGGGGGAGAGGTTATAAATTAGAAGAGGTGTGGGCCCAGGATTAAGCTCTGGAACATTCAAACATGTAGAAGTTTAGCCAAGGTGGTGGAATTAAAAAGTTACACTAATAAGAACAGGTAGTATGAGTGCAGTATGAGTGTGGTATTATGGAAGCTAAGAGAAGAAGGTATTTTATGAATGACCAGCAAGCTGTGCTTCATGCCACTGAAAGGTCAAGTACATTACAAGTAGAGCCACATCCCTATGATTTGAAAACAAGAAAGTAATTGGCGACCTAGAAAAAAAACAATCTTAGTCAAGTGGTGGCCGAAAATTTTGGTTGGAGAAAGCTTAGAAGAGAACAGGGAAATGAGGAAGGGGTGATGATAAATATAGATTACTCTTTCAATAAGTTTTTTTAATAAGGTGAAAGTAAAAATGACAATAATTGAAACAAAACATGGGGTCAAAGGAGCTCACTTGTTTTAAAGACATGAGATTCTAGAATGTGCTTGTATGCCGTTGGGGTGACCCAGAGTGGGAGAAATGGACAAAGCTAGGGAGAATGTGACTAACAGCAGGATGAAATCCTTGAGAAGGTGAGAGAGGATGATATCCAGAGAATTGGAGGACATAGGTTGCATATGATAGGAATATTATATTCATCATAACAAAGGACAAGATTAATACCTAAGAACAAGTGTAGATAGGGTTGTATTGTGTGGGTAGGTAGGGGTGGGGGTGGAGTGATGCTGAAGGGAATGAGGAGTAAGAGAGAAGGAAGATGACAATTTTGAATAGGAAAAAAGGTGTAAAATAGACTTAAAAAAAAGAAAACAAACCACTAAGACAGTATGTTGGTATTGCCAAGTATGTTGAGACTCGTGGTCATGAATTAGTTTAGTAAAATCCTGTGCTTTGTTCCAGAAAACTGCACGATATGACAAAATTCCACTGTTTTCCTCTCTTCTGAGTGATTTCCTGTAGGCTAAATCTGAACAGTTATTGAAAGTTTAAGTTAGAATATTATCACAGAATTTTGAAGCTAGATGTGCCCTCAGAGCCCATCCAGTCCTAACTCATTGTTTTCCAGAATAAAAAATTATTTCCTATTGATTTCTTAAAACACATCATTCTTGCATTCTATGGTATAGAATCAACTTTTTTCTCATATATTTTCCACTCTGTACACCAAGCTTGTCAAACCCGCAGCCCGTGTGCCATGTGCAGCCCAGGACGGCTTTAAATGCAGTCCAATATACATTCATAGGCTTTCTTAAAACAATATAAGATTTCTTTTTTTGCGATTTTTCTTTAGCTCATCAGCCATTGTTAGTGTTAGTGTATTTTATGTGTGGCCCAAGATAATTCTTCTTCCAATGTGGCCCAGGGAAGCCAAAAGATTGGATACCCCAGCAGTACACTGTATACATATATATATATATATATATATGTTATCATTGCTCCTGTAAATTTTTATTTTTCTCACTTATTTACACATTTATATCTCCAATTTACTTAGTTCATCTTCTTCCTTTCCTTCATTCAGCCAACTACCAGTTCAGGTCCTCCTTCTGTCTTCCCTAAATGATAATATCCTTGAAGATTTAAAGAATCAGGTGTTATTTTTTGGTTGCACTCTCAAAGCCTAGCACAGTTCCTGACTCTTTGGTGACTTTACCTTACTGAGGTAATTTACATTACTGATTACTGAGGTAAATAAGTTTTACTTTTGTTTCAATAAGTGAGATTGAGTAGGAAAGATGGATCAAAACATTTTTATTGTGATTAATGAATCTGTAGCCAAAGAATATTTGATATCCTAGAGAAGTAGAGCTGAGCATGAGTTGAATTAGCTCTTAATGGAATTGGCACCACTTCCTTTAATGCTTCTCTTAGAAAGTCTAGTGATTTTTTTTCCCTTTCTATATCTGCTTAGTTGTGACTGGAGTTGTATTATTACCATGGCTGCAGAAATCTTGAGTACCTGACGAGCTTTGATATTGTACTCAGAAGCTAGAAAGAAGATGTTAGTTTAAAATAGATCAAGCTCTTAGGAATTCTATAGAGATTATCATGTAATTTAGAAGAGCTAAATATATTTCTCAGAGAGGCAGCCTATTTCCACCTCATCTCTGGGGTTTTAACGATGTCTCCTTTTATTTTCTTCTAAGGTTTTATCTGAATTTCTTTTTTACCCTCAAGTCAGTGCCTCATTATTTGAGTTTATTATGTACCAGGAAGGTTTCATTAAAAACCAACCATGCCATTGTATTTCTTATTTTGAGCAGGTAAAAGTTTGATCTAAAATGAAAATCTTCTGACTTTTGCTTCAGGGTAAAAAGTGTGCAATAAACTTGAAATCAGTCTCTGGCTATAAAATTCTTTCCCCAAAGCTTTCTTAAGTACATCTCCCCTGCAGCTACTCCTAATTTCAACCTCCCCTTTTCTTCTGTCTCCTGACCTAAGATGTCTTCCTACCTCCCCTCCAGTCATTTACTGCTGTCAGAATAATCTTTAAAACTATAGTTCTGATGATCACGTCTTTGCAAACACTTCTTTTGGCTTTCTTTTGCTTGGAGAGTATGATTAAAGCTTCTTAAATAGACAGACCACAGCGTGGTCTACTTTTAACTTGCCCTTCCATTTTTCTGCCCTCTTGCATATGTCCTGCACTTTAAATAAATTTCTCTTATCACCCTTCCCTGAACATACCTCTCGTTTTCTCACCTTGAAACTTTAGCACATGAGACTCAGTCACATGGACATTTATTCAGAGTCCCAGCTCCCCATCTCAGTACTTCATATTCAGCACAAAGGCCATGTCATCACATTTTCATGACAACTTCCAGTTGGAAGTAATTTTTCACTCATCTGAATTTGCATAGTGCTTCAAAATATCTCTTTATCAAAAAGAATTCTGACTTGTGCTGTTATTACATTGGTATTGCTAAGTGCCTTTCTAAAATGTAGGTGCTAAAATTTAGGTTGTTTTTCTTGATAGTCCTCATACGGATTGTAATGCCTTTCACCTTGTTTCCAAAATGAATCACTGAAATATATAGAAAAAGCATTTTATTCAGCAAATACTTTTGAGGGATCATTATGTTCCAGGTACTACGTTAGATGCTGAGGATATAGTGGTGAAGAGGGTTGACATAGTCTTTGCCTTTATGTTCATAGATTCTAATAAGCAGTATAGACATTTGTCAAATACTTTATAATAATCAAGATATTGCAACAAATGATAAGTGCATTAGAAAGTGCTCTGGGAACACAGGAGACTACTATATCTTGATCTCTATACCGAGATCTATAATAGGGAGCTAATAGGTAAATGGAAAAAGTGTGTACTGTGAAAGAATGTCCTAGGCAGAGGGAACAGCATGTTTGAGACCCAGCAGCAAAAGAAGTGGAGGCTCCTTTCAAAACTGAAAAAAGTCTGGTGTGGCTGGAACATGTAACGTGTGCAGTAGAGGGTATCAGATGAAGGTCAGGATGTGGAATGTCTTGTAAGCCATGTCAAAAAGACAAAACAAAACTGTACTTTATCCTAAGGGTAATGGGGAGCCAAAGAAGGTTTTTAAAAGAGGCCTGGTGAGATCCGTGTTTTTAAGCAAACACTAACTACATTTTGAAGAGTGGAATGGAAAGAGGCCAGAAGAGTATAGGGAAACCAGAAAAGATTATATTCTTGGAGTTTAGGTACCAGACTTTGGCTTAGGCAAGGAACCCATGTCAATTAGGTTGGAGAGAAATTTAAGCCTTCAAGAGAAGTAATTGAGAGGTGGAAATAACAGGCCTTACATTTCAGGGGTGACGGAGAAGTAAGGTTCAAGACTGTCTTCCATGTTTCTCACATGAACAACTGAGAGGAGAGGAACCTGTGTGTTGAAAGAGGGAACACTGGAGGAGGAACAAATTAGGAGGCACAAAAAGAGGAAAATTTTCATTTATACATGTTATACATCCAGTGGCATCTGCTAGGCAGTTAGATATGTGATTGGAAGAGTGACCTAGTTAATTATATAGATAGAGGAACCATATGCATGTAAGGCAGTAAGTAAAGCAATAAGTGTGGGTGAGAGCTCCAAGTAACAAAAGTGTAGAGTCAGCAAAGGGTCTAGGAGAGAACCCTGAGACTCTCCAATCTTTTAAAAGCTAGGTAAGGAGAAAAGGGGCTAGCAAAGAGAACTGAGAAGAAACAGCTAATGGAAAACCAACGAACCAACCAAACAACCAACTAACCAACCTCAGTGCAAAGTAATGTGACAGAAGCTAAAAGAGAATCTCGAAGAGAAGAGAGTGGTCACAGGGTCAAATGCTGCTAAATGTCAAGCAGTCTGAGGACAGAAAAAATGTCTATTGGGCCTAATGGCAAAGATGTCATAATTGACTTTGGTGAAAATCGTGGAGCAGTGCGTAAAAACAGACTGGAATATGTTGGGCAGAAAGTGGAAGGTAAGGAAATGGAGACAGTGATTGTAGACAGCTCTTTCCAAAAGTTTTGCTGTAAAGGGCAGGAAAGCCTATAGCTAACATTGTCTGTGGAGGTGAGGGTGATTTTTGGGATCATTTGCTTATTTTTAAAATGGGAAAGGAGCTGGGGTGGGGAGGGAGAGAAGAGATAAATTAACAACAAAGAAGAGAGGGAATAATTAAAATGAGAAACCCTGGGAAGACAGAAGGAGATTGAACCTGTGTAGTGAAGGTATGGAAGGAGGTAAATCTCTTCCTTTACACAATGGAAGAAGTAAAACGTTGATATGAATGTGAATAAGCTTGTATACAGCATTTGACTGTGGGAAATCTATTGTGATAACTTACTTCTTTTGGGTATAAGAGTTAAGTTTATCTGCTTTGAGAAAGGATGATATAAGATTAAGGAGAGAGGAGAAAGTGGAAAAAGCCATAGTAGAAGGTAAGAGTGAACTGAAGAAAAAGATAACATAGATTGTAGGGCAATGCTGGGCACCTGCTTGCAACTGGCAGCTCCACATTTATTGTGGTGGCCGTCTATTCACAGGTGCTATGTTCTGATTGTTTGCCCACTCAGGGGGAGTGGAGTTTTAGGGTAGAGGCTGATTTCCATGTAGCCAAAAAGCTTGAGGGAATTTTCAGTGAGGTTTTTGGTAATGCCTTATAGAGCCACAGAGAGCCCAAGTTTTTCTCTGTTCCAAAGTGGTGGTTGTGGTGATCATACCCATCATCTATCCCATAGCACAGTAGTAGTTTTCAATCTTTATTAGCTGCAGACATCTGTCAACCCCAGTCCTGGGAGGAATTCCATCTTATACTTGTATTTCTCTCTTCTGAAATTTTCCTTTCACACTGTCAATGACAAGGCAGGAGCAAACTCCCGGATTATGACACATGAACACATTGTGTCTCCAGGACAGAGAAGCAGTGGAACCAGAACTCCAGCATCCTAGAATAACTGAGACTGTGAGGAAGTCCAGCGATCTCATCACGAGAAATAGCTCAAGTAAATTTAGTATCACCATTGTTTCTAAGTGCAAAAAAGCTCTCCTTGGCTGATGATTAAGCAATAGCCCTCATCTGCAGTCATAGTTAACAAGCAGCTAGGCAACACCAGACACAAATCTCTTGTCCTATTAGAGTAAGTATATGTTTTTTTCCTACAATATGATAACATATTAATAGAACGTCTTAATAGATCCTCAAGTTCTTATTAACATAAGCAAAACATTCCCTTCCTGTCATGTCAACAAACCAAAGTATGTTTTCCTTTCACTGTGTCAGCTATCATAGTATATTGCCAAATATTTTGGAATATAAAAGTGTAGAGCTTAATTTGAAACTTTTTAATATACTTCCACCAAGTAAGTACCTTAAATCTGGCATATATTTTGTTATTCTTACATAACATATGTTTCCTCTTTCCTACATCTTGGGGTTTTATTATGAATATACTAATCCTTCTTTGTCCTTTTGCAAAGAATGGAATTTCTGGGATCGGTGCTAAATTCCAGGTTTCAGTCTTTAAAAATCTTGGACTTGAAGTAGGAATGCATGTTATCCAAAATAAAGTATTTCTTGATCATAACAAAAGCCTTGCAATGAAAAGAGAAGCTTGCCGAAACTTACTAATTTCTTTGTTGCCACCCTTTCATTTCTCAGGCACAGGTCTGAAAGTGGTTCTGAAGTTAAATTGAAAGTTTAGAAAAGGACAATTGAGTTATACGCACTATTAATTCTAGCCTTACTGTGAGGAACAAGGATAAGTTTATGAATTTTCTTGATATTAATAGAGAAGCTGATTTGCTGAAAATCAGCCTCAGTGTTTTGAGTTAGAAGACATTTCTAGACTCATTGACTGAAAATAATTTCATGATTGTTTAAATTTAGATGCTGTAGAGATTACTTCATCAAAGAGATGTTGACCAAATGGCAAATTTAATGAGGTTTCTCTAAAAAATGCACAATCACAATTGATATAATAGAACAATATATAGCCAAACCATGACCTCACATTTTACTAACATATAGGTCCTTTTCATTAAAGTGCTCTAGTTTAATAAACCCAAACATTCTCTAGATGCTTTACTGTTTCTTAAAAGTGATGAAATCTTGATATAGGAGGATTCTTCTGCCTCAGCTTCCTGAGTAGCTGGGATTACAGGCGCCCACCATCATGCCTAGCTAATTTTTGTAATTTTAGTAGAGACGGAATTTCACCATGTTGGCCAGTCTGGTCTTGAACTCCTGACCTCGTGATCCACCCACCTCGGCCTCCCAAAGTGCTGGGAGTCACTGTACCTGGCCTATTATTACTTTTGATGGGTTACCAGTGTCCAAGGTTTTATCTCCTTTTTGTTTTCCCAAATTCAATAATTAAATTGCATTCAAAAATAAGGCCCAAAATATCTTTAAAAACATGTCAGAATACATTCATTAAACAAACAAAAAAACAAGTTAGTAGCATCCTAAATATTGTGTCTATATCACTTAAAATTTGCAAGTCATGACATCCTAATTTTTAAGATGAACTTTTTAAATTAGGAAAGCTAACTGAAATGAAGTATCTTACCAGATGTTTTCATTAAAATTTTGTTAGCAAATCTGTGAAAATCTTCAAGATGAATTAGAAACGTACTTACAGAGCAACAATTAAAGGCTTAGCATTGTATTATATGCTAATTCCCAAGGATGGTTTGTAAAATATTAAAATCCAAAGATTGGTTCTGAACATATTTTGCCAGCTGTTGTGTTGGATTACTTTAAATTCATATTTTAAAAACACAATACTGTTCTGAAGAAAACAAAAAATCTTTAGTGAAAGACTTTATTTAATAAGATTTCACAGATATTTTATTCTTTAAAAAGGGCAGCTTCAACACAGCAAAATTTTTCACTGTGCTAAAATAGTAAAATAAGTGCAAGAACTTGGTGCCAAAAAAGGTCTGCAAAGACATTTTTTTGACTGAGTTTCTTTCCTTTGGGAATTTCATAAATTGCTTCTTGTACACAAACATTAGCAATAATTTACCTTTGTTATAACTTTAAAAATAATTTAACAAAATCATTATTTTATTATTGTCGTTGTCACAACACCATTTGATATACTTGTTTTTGAGACAGTCTTTTTGCAAAATGTCTCGGTATTTTTGTCTTGCATAACATTGTTTTAGAATGCAATTGGGAGCTAATTCCTAATATTTTGTCTAAGTATGTAGGCAGTGTCATACTTTTTAACTTTGGATTGCAGTTTGCACCTCTCTGGTTGCTCAACAGTTCACTGAAGCCTGAGTCGGTGGATGGGTATCCGACCTGAACTTGGGTGGGTAATTCCAGAAAGTTTTCACAGGAGTGAGGCAGAAGACAGAAACTGCAACAAACCGCCGGGGGGTGGGATTAACGTCCAAAGCTCACACCGGCTTCAACTGATTGGCAGGAACGAAGTGGGTGGAGCCTCCTGACCCTGCCCTCCTGCTTCCGTTGCTAGGGACGCTTCGGCCGAGGATACCGCAATGGATCAGGAAGAGGGGCTGAAGGCCTTGGACAATATTGTCACTCAATTCAACGCCTATGAAGATTTCCTGGACTCGCAGATCACTACTGTGGACTTGTACTACCTGGAGGTAAGGGCGGAGCGCGGCAGAGTAGCCGCCGCCGCGCGTCCCTCGGTCCCTCCTCGAGTTCCCGCTTCGTGGGCTGGTCGCCCCCTGGCGCTGGACAGCTCAGCTGTCAGGCGCCGCGGTTTCGGGACCGCGACACTAAAGCCGCTGGCGAGGTGAATTGCCGCGTCCTTACCGCCCCGCGCTCCCCGGTCCGGACAGAACTTGGGCCCCTAGAGTCACCCAGCGCAGAAACGCGCGGGCACACTCACACTGGGGAGCCATGAATTTGTGCTTCTTGGCCTCCCCTGCCTCCTCCCAGCCCACTCCCATTCCAAAGCCGCTCTCTGTGAGGAAGGAGGTCTGCTGAGAAGTCTCCGGCTGTGATCTAGGACAGACACCTGTTTCTCTCTGCTTTGCCAATTGGTATATTAAAGAACAGAAGATGGCATCTTTACACCAACCTAGTGTATTTGGTGTTATATTGGGCGTTTGGGTTCATGAACTTCCACCTCACACTAATTGATTCTGAAAGTACTTTAATTACAGAGACGCATTACAGGTAGTTGTGCAGACATATTCCTGATTCAAGTTTATCGAGTTGATGATCACAACTAACTTTGATAGTAAAAATATACACACAAAAAAGGAGCGAAACTGGACCTAATGGGTTGCTTTCCTCTGCCCAACAGCCAATCCCCTCCCCAGCTACCCCCGCTGCAGGGTGGTGGGGGACAGAGTGGAGTTCTTGTCCTGTGCCACGGGAGAACCCGGACGCGCAGGAATTAACAAGTCATCAGTGCTAGGAAGCTGGGAGGCGGACGATGGCTCCTAAAGTCCCAGTATATTCCTAGCCAAACTTCCCGGATAGGCCCACTGAATGGACACTCACCTGGAGAGTCGGCCGTGCTCTCCACAGGACCCAGAAATGCCTTATCCCTATTTAGGCCAGAGAGAACAGGCGCCACTATGTGGTGAAAAGCCACATCAGTCTGGGAAGGATTTGCATCCTGCCACCAGCTCCCCACACTTCTGAACTGCAACAAGGTAACTGCATTTTAGTGGATTGACACTTTTGGACTTCAAAGATTGGTTACAGAGGCATTTCACTTAAATATGGATTACAGGTTTCAAAAGTGTTATTCTTCAGTACATTTAAAAAATAAATGTAGGTGGTATTTCCAATATAGCTCCTGGCTTCAAAAGCAAAATTTTAAAACATTATACAGATAATATATTTAAAGTCATAAAAGTCAGTTTATGCCTTGCATCCAAGACACTGAAAAAGTAATGCTGCTAAACAATGTTTACATCTAAATTTTTGAATGTTTAAATAAACAAAAAATGAAATATACGCTATAAACATCTTGATAGACTAAAATCATCTTTGTAGCATATGTGGAAGATTGGCAAATTTAAACCTAGTATTATTAAGAAAGGTTTTAATATTTTTTAAGGCACAGTTCTTCATGTGAGTATGGACCTAAAACATTAATATTAATTACAGATGTGAAATTAATAATTTGTGTTTCATCAATCAGAATTTTTTTTTTTTTTTTTGAGATAGAGTTTCACTCTGTGGCCCAGGCCAGAGTGCAGTGGCCCCATCTCGGCTCACTGCAACCTCCGCTCCCCAGGTTCAAGTGATTCTCTTGCCTCAGCCTCCCAAGTTTCTGGGATTACAGGTCTGCACCACCATACCCAGCTAATTTTTGTATTTTTAGCAGAGACAGGGTTTCACCATGTTGGCCAGGCTGGTCTCGAACTCCTGACCTCAAGTGATCCACCGGCCTCAGCCTCCCAAAGTGCTGGAATTACAGGTGTGAGCCACCACACCCAGCCCATCAATCAGAATTCATTAAAGGTTTCCAAAATGGAAGGTGGTAATTATATTTGGGGAAATGACAAAGAAATTTACTTTTATATTTGGCATTGATTAAGCTTATTTTTGTTGTACTTTCATAAAAAGTAAGATGAAGATTTAGTTGAATAATGATAATTAGACAGGTATATATATGTTTACATATATATGTATATATTTGGATTGATTAGTGACAACTTTTAAAGTGCTATTATTTCTAGAGATCTACATTCTCAAATACTTTCTGTGGATGTAAGTTCATTGTGCACTTAGGTCACACAGAAACAAGTAGACTCCTCAGCATTCTTTCAGTAGTATGGCAAGCATGTTTCACAAATCATGGATCATGCTAAGTGAGCTGATACTTGTGCTTTTCCTCTCTCTCTCTCTCACACACATCATCATCATCAGTAACTGACTTTGATTTGAATGGAACAACTTTTAAAACATTTTATTTTAACTAACAAAATTGTCGATATTTATCATATACAACATGATGTTTTAAATTATATATATTGTGGAATGGCTAAATCAAGTTAACATATGTATTACCTCACATAATTATCATTTTTTTGTGGTGAGAACACTTAAAAATCTATTTTCTTGACATTTTAAAAGAACATAATATATTGTTATTAACTGTAGTCACAATGTTATACAAGAGATCTCTTGAATTTATTTGAATGAAACAAATTGTAAACTGTAAATTAGAGGTAGCATGTTTAGTTAGAAGAGGCTAGAGTCACAAGATTTTTTTTTGGTTCTAACTCTGCAATATTGTGTTTTTAATCAACTTGAAATTCCATTTTTTACCTACAAAATGAAACAGTTGGACTAGATTATTCAAGTTTCCTAAAGTATATAAAATGTTATGAGTTATCTATACTTTCATCTGATTATCTGTACACCCATGTATTTATCCAGCCACCTTTTTAGTCGATAATCCTTCACCAAGCGCCTGATGTAGTGGATATTGCCTACACTGCTAAGAGTTTAAGTAAGAATCTATTCTAGACTTGACCTCAGAAACCTAAGTATATAATGCTTACAGTCCGGTCTAAGTTTTATTTATTCAGCAAGCATTTTACAAACATTTACTATCTTCCAGGTACTCTTGTATTGTGTAGTATATTCTGCTCCCAAAAGTTTTCAGTTAATCTGCATAAAAAGTTAGTACCAATGATTGACATACAAATAATCATATAATCTGTGCCAGATCCATTCTGTGCCCCTGGACAATGACCTTCACAGTCATTAATCAGGAGCTTTTGGCTTTGGGTTGGTTTCAGCCAATAGGAGGTACCAACTGGAGTGCAGGGGGCTGGAAGGAAGTGGTTAGATAATTTATTCCCTGCCATCTTCCTACTGTCTGTGGTTTAGAAGCAGCTACCTTCCTTAGGTTTGGCCATCTTCTCATTCCATTAGCTATAGCACTCTCTCCAGGGTCTGGCAGCACTCCCTGCTCTAGGAATTGCTTCCTCCCTTATCTTCTTTTATGCCAAATGGTGTTAATGGCTTCCCACTGTTGCTAACCCAAGGATGCTTCACGATCCCATGTTGGTTTCCATTAATTTTGCCCGTATCTTTGTAAATAGTGCTTTTATTCTTTTTGGTCGTGAGTTTGCCAACAATTTGCTGCCATTACCCTGACCACAATATAATTATTTAACATCTCAGATCACAGTAAGTACACAAATAGTGTATGAATCTAATAACCACACAACTTTTTACATAATGCTTGCTTAGGAAGAAAGAGAAATGTGGAAAAAAGGAAACTAACCCCAGTTAATTATTTGATAAGCTAGAGAGGAGTAAGGTGGCTCAGAAGAATAAAAGAAGCACTTTATGCTATGTACACTGTGCTTTGCTTATTTTACTGAATAGCTTCAAAGCATCAAAAGAAATGCATCACTGTATCAGCAATTAGATTTTCCTCTGCTAACCCAAAGAAATATATTTGTTCTGGGAGTTAGTATTATCTAACCTAATTAACTTAATTCCCTAAATCAATATAGAAATAGTTGAAAAGTTTTGGCAAAATTATTACAATATAATTTTCCAGGTTCTTTCTTAGTAATTCTTCTATTTAAATAAACACAGGCCCTTTATTTTAATAAAGGTGCCTATGACCACTGGAAAAATAAAAGTCCTAATTAACCTGCTTTTCTCAGGTAAAGGATCAAAGAGTGTTGGAATTATTTAAAATGTCTCTGACTAATGGATAGCAGTAATGGCTAAAGTATTTACAGAGATAAACAACATGGAGTTTCACTTAGGGCATTGTCTTCCCATTATTTATAAAATAGAAATGGGGAGGGGCCAAGATGGCTGACTAGAAGCAACTGCAGTCCATGGCTGTCATGGAGAAGAATGAAAATGGAGAGTGAATTTGGCACCTTCAACTGAAATATCCAAGTTTTCACTTTGGGACTCACTAGGCAATCAACTCGACCCATGGATAATGAAGAAAAGCAGGGTGAGACAGAGCCAAAGGATCCCTCATTCCCAGCCAAAGGAAGCTGTGAGTGATTGTGCAACCCTGCCTTGGAAACCACACTTCTCCCACAGATCGTTGCAACCCACAGATCAGGAGATCCCCTCAGGAGGCCACTTTACCAGGGCCTTCCATCCAATACTCAGAACTGTGCAAAGTCTCAGCAGAGTAGTCACTCAGGCTCACACAGAGGCTCACACAGAGACCCAGGAGTTTTTCAGTCTCCAGCCTTGGGAATCCTGACAAGGTGGGAGTTTCATCCTTATATTCCTCTAGGAGATTCAGGGAGTCAAGCAGTGTCATTCTGCAGGCCCCACTTCCCTTGCACCTCACAAGCTAAGACCCACTCGCTTAGAATTCCAGTTGGCTAGTGCAGTAGACTGGAGACTGCCTAAGATGGACAAATTCCCAGGGGGACAGGTGGCTGACATTTTTGCAGATTGGGCAACTCAGTTCTAGCCTTCTGGCTCTGGGGAGTCTAGGTGGCCCTGACAGGAGGAGTCCCTCACCCCTCACAATGCAGCACAGCTGCTGTTCCAGAATGTGGCCATAACACTCCTTTATTTTATTTTATTATTTTTTTTTTTGGAGTTTCACTCTTTTTGCCCAGGCTGGAGTGCAATGGTGCGATCTCGGCTCACAGCAACCTCCGCCTCTCAGGTTCAAGCAATTTTACTGCCCCAGCCTCCCAAGTAGCTGGAATTACAGGTATGCACCACCACACCCAGCTAATTTTTGTATTTTTAGTAGAGACAGGGTTTCACTGTGTTGGTCAGGCTGGTCTTGAACTCCTGACCTCAGGTGATCCACCCGCCTTGGCCTCCCAAAGTGCCAGGATTACAGGTGTGAGCCACCGTGCCTGGCCCAGACTGCTTCTTTGAGTTAGATTCCAATCCATTCCTTCCCACTGGGCAGGGGCCTCCCTGCAGGAATTTCAGCAACTCCAGCCAGGGTTATACAGACAGAACTCTGATCTCTTCCTGGGAAAGAGCCTCTGAGGGGAGAAGCAGCCAATGTCTCTGCAGTTCAGTTGACTCAGCCTTTCTAGCTTGCTGGCTCTGGAGAGTCCAGGCAGTGTGGATGAGGAAGGATCCCCCAACGCAGCACACCTGCTCTACCAAAAAGCAACCAGACTGCTTCTTTCAGTGGGCTCTTGATCCCATCCTTCCTGACTGAGGTCTCTCAACAGGGGTCTCCAGACACCTCCTACAGGAGGGTCTGGGCCAGCAACAGGTCAGTACTCCACTGGGATGGAGCTCCCGGAGGAAGGAGAAGGCTGCCATCTTTGCTGTTTCACAGCCTTCACTGGTGATACCTTCAGGTAAGGGAAAAACCGAGGCACCTAGGGTCTGCAGTGATCCCCCAACAAGCAGCCCTATGGAAGAATGGCCTGAGATTTAAAAGAAAAATAGAAAGAAACAACAACAACAAAGACCCCATAAAAACCCCATTTAAAGTTCAGCATCTTCAAAAATTAAAGTTAGATAAGCCACAAAATGTGAGAAACAGTCATTGCAAAAATGCTGAAACTCGAAAAGCCAGAGTGCCTTCTTTTCCTCCAAATAACTGCAACAGGTCTCCAGCAAGGGCACAGAATTGGGCTGAGGCTGAGCTGCCTGAATTGGCAGAGGTAGGCTTCACAAGTTGGGTAATAATGAGCTTTGCTGAGCTAAAGGAGCATGTTGTAACCCAATGAAAAGAAGCTAGAATCATGATAAAACAGTACAGGAGCTGATAGCAAGAATAGCTGGGTAAGAGAGGAGCATCACTGACCTGATGGAGATGAAAAACACAAGAAATTCACAATGTAATCACAAGTATCAATAGCAGAATAGACCAACCAGAGGAAAGACTCTCAGAGATTGAAGACCATCTTTCTGAAAGAAGACAGGCAGGCAAGAACAGAGAAAAAAGAACGAAAAGGAACAAACAAAACCTGTGAGAAATATGAGACTATGTAAAAAGACTGAACCTACGACTGATTGGGGTACCTGAAAGAAACTGGAAGAACCGAACCAAGTTTGAAAACATACTTCAGGATATCATCCAGGAGAACTTCCTGAGCCTAAGAAGATAGGCCAACATTCAGGTTCAGGAAATACAGACAACTCTAGTAAGATATTCCACAAGAAGATCAACCTCAAGACACATAATCCTCAGATTCTCCAAGGTTGAAATTAAAGAAAAAATGTTAAAGGCAGCCGCAGAGAAAGGCCAGGTCACCTACAAAGGGAAACCTATTAGACTGACAGTGGACCTCTCAGTGGAAACCCTACAAGCCAGAAGAGATTGCAGACCAATGTTCAACATTCTTCAAGAAAAGAATTTCCAATCTAGAATTTCATTTCCAGCCAAGCTAAGCTTCATTAGCACAGGAGAAATAAGATCCTTTTCAGACAAGCAAATGCTGAGGAAATTCATCACCACCAGGCCTGCTTTGCAAGAGTTCCTAAAGAAAGCACTAAATATGGAAAGGAAAAATCATTACCAGCCACTACAAAAACACACTGAAGTACACAGTACACCAACTAATGACACTATGAAGCAACCACATAAACAAGTCTGCAAAATAACCAGCTAGCATCATGATGATAGGATCAAATTCTCACATAACAATATTAAACTTAATGTAAGTGGGCTAAATGCTCCAATTAAAAGACACAGAATGGCAATCTGGATAAAGAGTCATGACCCATTGCTATGCTGTATTCAAGAGACCCATCTCATGTGCAGTGACACACATAGGCTCAAAATAAAGGGATGGAGAAATACTTACCAAGAAAATGGAAAACAGAAAAAAGCAGGGGTTGCAATCCTAGTTTCTGACAAAGCAGACTTTAAAACAACAAAGATTTAAAAAGACAAAGAAGGGATGTACATAATGAGAAAGGGTTCAACTCAATAAGAAGAGCTAACTATCTTAAATATATATGCACCTAATACAGGAGCACCCAGATTCATAAAGCAAGTTCTTAGAGACCTACAAAGAGACTTAGAATTTCACACAATAATGGTGAGAGACATTAACACCCTACTGGCAATATTAGACAGATCATTGAGACAGAAAATTAACAAAGATATTCAGGACCTGAACTCAGCTCTGGAACTAGTGGACCTCATAGACACCTACAGAACTCTCAACCCAAACAACAGAATATACATTCTTCTCATTGTCACATGGCACTTACCCTAAAATTGATCACATATTTGGAAGTAAAACACTCTTCAGCAAATGCAAAAGAACTGAAATAATAACAGTCTATCAGACCACAGTGCAATCAAATTAGAACTCAAGACGGCTGGGCATGGTGGCTCACGCCTGTAATCCCAGCACTTTGGGAGGCCGAGGCGGGTGGATCATGAGGTCAGGAGATCGAGACCATCCTGGCTAACAAGGTGAAACCCCGTCTCTACTAAAAATACAAAAAATTAGCCAGGCGCGGTGGCGGGCGCCTGTAGTCCCAGCTACTCGGGAGGCTGAGGCAGGAGAATGGCGTGAACCCGGGAAGTGGAGCTTGCAGTGAGCCGAGATTGCGCCACTGCAGTCCGCAGTCCGGTCCGGCCTGGGCGACAGAGCGAGACTCCGTCTAAAAAAAAAAAAAAAAAAAAAAAGAACTCAAGACTATGAAATTCACTCAACACCACACAACTAAATGGAAACTGAATAACCTGCTTTTGAATGACTCCTGGGTGAATAATGAAATTAAGGTAGAAATCAAGAAGCTATTTGTAACTAATGAGAACAAGGAGACAATGTACCAGAATCTCTGGGATCCTGCCAAAGCAGTGTGAAGAGAGAAATTTGTAGCACTAAATGCCTGCATCAAAAGACTAAAAAGATCTCAAGTTAACAACCTGACAACACAACTAAAAGAACCAGAGTACCAAGAGCAAACAAACCACAAAGCTGGCAGAAGACAGGAAATAACCAACATCAGAGCTGAACTGAAGGAGATAGAAACATGAACAACTCTTCAAAAAAATCAACAAATCCAGGAACTAGTTTTTTGAAAAAATTAATAAGATAGATAGACTGCTACCTAGACTAGTAAAAAAAAAAGAGAGAGAGAGAGAATCAAATGGACACAATCAGAAATGATAAGGAAGATATCACCACTGACCCCACAAAAATACAACCATCAGATAATATTATGAACACCTCTTCGTGCAGAAAATAGAAAATCTAGAAGAAATGTATAAATTTCTGGACAAATACACCCTCCCAAGACTGAACCAGGAAGAAATTGAATCCCTGAGTAGAACAATAACAAATTCTGAAATTGAAGCAACAATAAACAGCCTACCAATCAAAAAAAGCCCAAGACCAGATGTATTTACACCTGAATTCTACCAGAGGTATAAAGAAGAGCTGATATCATTTCTAATGAAACTATTTCAAAAAATTGAAAAAGGGGAACTCCTCCCTGTTTATAAAGCCAGTATTATCCTGATACCATAACTTGGCAGATATACAACAAAAAAAGAAAACTTCAGTCCAATATCCCTGATGAATATCAATCCAAAATCCTCAATAAAATACTGGCAAACTGAATCCAGCAGTACATAAGAAACCTTATCCATCACAGTCAAGTTGGCTTCATCCTTGGGATGCAAGGTTGGTTCAACATAGGCAAATTAATAGATGTAATTCATCATATAAACATAACTAAAATAAAAAACCACATGATTATCTCAATAGATGCAGAAAAGACCTTCAATAAAATTCAACATCCCTTTATGTTACTCTCAGTAAACTAGATATTGAAGAAACATAAATCAAAATAATAAGAGCAATATATGTCAAGCCCACAGACAATATCATACTGAATGGGCAAAAGCTGGAAGTATTCCCCATGAAAACTGGCACAAGACAAGGATGTCCTCTCTCTCATTACTCCTATTCAACATAGTATTGAAAGTTCTGACCAGGGCAATCAGGCAAGAGAAAGAAATGAAGGGTTTTCAAATAGTGAGAGAGGAAGTCAAGTGATGTTTGTTTGCAGATGACATGATCCTATATCTAGAAAATCCCATTGTCCCAGCCCAACAGTTTCTTTTTGTTATTATTATTATTATTATTATACTTTAAGTTCTAGGGTACATGTGCATAACGTGCAGGTTTGTTACATATGTATATATGTGCCATGTTGGTGTGCTGCACCCATTAACTAGTCATTTACAGTGGGTATTTCTCCCAATGCTATCCCTCCCCCCTCCCCCCAACCCATGACAGACCCCGGTGTGTGATGTTCCCCTCCCTGTGTCCAAGTGTTCTCATTGTTCAGTTCCCTCCTTTGAGTGAGAACATGCAGTGATTGGTTTTCTGTCCTTGTGATAGTTTGCTGAGAATGATGGTTTCCAGTTTCATCCATGTCCCTACAAAGGACATGAATGCATCCTTTTTTATGGCTGCATAGTATTCCATGGTGTCTATGTGCCATATTTTCTTAATCCAGTCTATCACTGATGGACATTTATGTTGGTTTCAAGTCTTTGCTTTTGTGAATAGCGCCACAATAAACATATGTGTGCATGTGTCTTTATAGTAGCATGATTTATAATCCTTTGGGTATGTACCCAGTAATGGGATCACTGGGTCAAATGGTATTTCTAGTTCTAGATCCTTGAGGAATCACCACACTGTCTTCCACAATGGTTGAACTAATTTACACTCCCACCAACAGTGTAAAAGCGTTCCTATTTCTCCACATCCTCTCCAGCATCTGTTTTTTCCTGACTTTTTAATGATTGCCATTCTAACTGGTGTGAGATGGTATCTCATTATGGTTTTGATTTGCATTTCTCTGATGACCACTGATGATGAGCATTTTTCATGTGTCTGTTGGCTGCATAAATGTCTTCTTTTGAGAAGTGTCTGCTCATATCCTTTGTCCACTTTTTGATGGGGTTGTTTGATTTTTTCTTGAAAATTTGTTTAAGTTCTTTCTAGATTCTGGATATTAGCCTTTTGTCAGATGGGTAGATTGCAAAAATTTTCTTCCATTCTGTAGGTTGCCTCTTCACTCTGATGGTAGTTTCTTTTGCTGTGCAGAAGCTCTTTAGTTTAATGAGATCCCATTTGTCTATTTTGGCTTTTGTTGCCATTGCTTTTGGTGTTTTTGTCATGAAGTCCTTGCTCATGCCTATGTCTTGAATGGTATTGACTAGGTTTTCTTCCAGGGTTTTTCTGGTTTCAGGTCTAACATTTAAGTCTTTAATCCATTTTGAATTAATTTTTGTATAAGGTGTAAGGAAGGGATCCAGTTTCAGCTTTCTACATATGGCCAGACAGTTTTCCCAGCACCATTTATTAAATAGGGAATCCTTTCCCCAGTGCTTGTTTTTGTCAAGTTTGTCAAAGATCAGATGGTTGCATATGTGTGGTGTTATTTCTTAGGCCCCTGTTCTGTTCCCTTGGTCTATATCTCTGTTTTGGTACCAGTACCATGCTGTTTTGGTTACTGTAGCCTTGTAGTAGTTTGAAGTCAGGTAGCATGATGCCTCCAGCTTTGTTCTTTTGGCTTAGGATTGACTTGGCGATGCGGGCTCTTTTTTGGTTCCATATGAACTTTAAAGTAGTTTTTTCCAATTCTGTGAAGAAAGTCATTGGTAGCTTGATGGGGATGACATTGAATCTATAAATTACCTTGGGCAGTATGGCCATTTTCACAATATTGATTCTTCCTATCCGTGATCATGGAATGTTCTTCCATTTGTTTGTGTCCTCTTTTATTTTGTTGAGCAGTGGTTTGTAGTTCTCCTTGAAGAGATCCTTCACATCCCTTTTAAGTTGCATTCCTAGGTATTTTATTCTCTTTGTAGCCATTGTGAATGGGAGTTCACTCATGATTTAGCTCTCTGTTTGTCTGTTATTGGTGTTTAGGAATGCTTGTGAATTTTGCACATTGATTTTGTATCCTGAGACTTTGCTGAAGTTGCTTATCAGCTTAAGGAGATTTTGGACTGAGACGATGGGGTTTTCTAAATATACAATCATGTCATCTGCAAACAGGGACAATTTGACTTCTTCTTTTCCTATTTGAATACCCTTTAATTCTTTCTCTTGCTTGACTGCCCTGGCCAGAACTTCTAACACTATGTTGAATAGGAGTGGTGAGAGAAGGCATCCGTGTCTTGTGCTGATTTTTAAAGGGAATGCTTCCAGTATTTTCCCATTCAGTACAGCCCACAGTTTCTTAAGCTGATATGCAACTTCAGCAAAGTCTCAGGATACAAAAGCAATGTGCAAAATTGCTAACATTCCTATACACCAACAACAGGCAAGCAAAGAGCCGAATCATGTATGAACTCTCATTTACAATTGCTATAAAAAGAATGAAGTGCCTAAGAATAGAGCTAACAAGGAAAGTGAAGGACCTCTTCAAGGAGAACTACAAACCTCTGCTCAAGGAAATCAGAGAGGATACAAACAAATGGAAAAACCTTCCATGCTCATGGATAGGAAGAATTAATGTTGTAAAAATGGCCATGCTGCCCAAAGTAATTTATAGATACAATGCTATTCCCATTAAGCTACCATTGACATTCTTCACAGAATTAAAAGAAACTATTTTAAAAAACATATAGAACCAAAAAGAGCTCACATAGCCAAGACAATCCTAAGCATAAAGATAAAAGCTGGAGGCATTATGGTACCTGACTTCAAACTATAAGGCTACAGTAACCAAAACAGCATGATAATGATACAAAACCAGACACACAGAGCAACAGAACAGAATAGAGAACTGAGCAATAGATCAGAATAGAGAAGATAGAATAAGACCACCCACCTACAACCATCTCATCTTTGACAAACCTGACAATAGCAATGGAGAAAGGATTCCCTATTTAATAAATGGCGTTGGGAGAACTGGTTAGTTATATGCAGAAAAATTGAAACTGGATCCCCTCTGTACACCATATACAAAAATTAGCTCAAGATTGATTAAAGACTTAAATGTAAAACCCAAAACAATAACAACCCTAAAAGAAAATCTAGGCAGTAACACTCAGGACGTCAGCATGGGCAAAGATTTCATGATGAAAACACCAAAAGCAATTGCAGCAAAAGCAAAAATTGACAAATGGGATCTCATTAAAGAGCTTTTACATAGCAAATGAAAATTAGAGTGAACAGACAACATACAGAATTGTAGAAAATTTTTGCAATCTATCCGTCTGACAAAGGTCTAATATCCAGAATCTACAAGAAACTTAAACAAATTTACAAGAATAAAACAATCCCATTAAAAACTGGGCAAAGGACATGAACAAACACTTCTCAATAGTAGACATTCATGCAGCCAACAAACATATAAAAAAAGCTCAACATCACTGATCATTAGGGAAATGCAAATCAAACCACAATGAGATACCATCTCACGCCAGTAAGAGTTTGAGTGAGAACTTGGCCATCTGCAATTCAAGAAGAAAGTTCTCAGAAAAAACCCAACCTGCCAACACCTTGCTGTTCGACCTTCAGAACTGTGAGAAAATAAATTTCTGTGATTTGAGCTACCCAGTTTGTGGTATTTTCTTATGGGAGCCCTGGCTCCCATATATATGAAATACCGAGGAATCCCAAACTAATATAGCAGCAAACACATGTTTACCTAAAATCTCATCTTTATTTCAGGTGTCTAAAGGTGATAAACTAAATAAGTTTTGCTTCTACATTCCATGGACTACACACACAGACAGACATGAGTGCACATAATTTATTTTATAGAGTTTTGACCTTACACAACATGAGAGCTGTTAACACGGTTGATGAAATAGTGATGAATTGGTGTCTGGTCCTGGAGCCTGAAGTCACACTGAGACCTGCAAGGATAACCTAGAATCCATGAGGACAGAATGAAACGTCTGTCAGGTGCTCGTGACCCTGCCTGCCATACAATTTTAATGGTAGGGGCATTCTGCAGGAGAAGCTGGCACCTTTAGTCACAGAGCTAACCATGCACTTGACACAGATGTTGGAGAAGCTTAAGGAAGAGAGCCTCCAAAAGCCAAAACAATATTGCTGCTCCTTCACTTCTCCTTTCTAAATGTATTACAAATGTCTCTTGTGGTTCACCCTGACATGTAACTATCCAAGTAAGTAAAATTATGGGAAATGAAGTTTCAGCTTAGATAATTTGATGCAATACAAATTCACTACATATGCCATGTTTTAATATTTCACATGGAGAATATATTTATGTCTGACTTGTATAAATAAAAATTAGCACAAATAAAGGATGAGAGTTTCTCAAATGTTACAGGACATGCATAGCCCTGACATCAATTTTTAAAAAGCAAAACAAAGTAGAAAGCTGAAGACTAATTTTACTTATGAACTGGATGAAAGAAATTTAAAATGAATCCAAGAATATATTAAGAAATAATAATGTCAGAGTGAAAATAGTATGATTTGTTATAGGACTGCAACGAGGAACTCATGATATTAAATGTAAAAAGAAAAAAAGATTATTTCTATAGATGAAGAAAAAGCATAGATAAAATTCTAAAGCCATTCTTACTATAACTTGATAAGGAGTATTTTCAAACACTTATAGGAAACGTCATACTCAGTGTTTAAACACTTGAATGGTTAGCATTAGAATTAGAAACATGATAAAAATGGTTGCTACTACTAGTAATGTTTTATTGGCAGTCTAGCAGTGCAGTGCTGCAATTTAAGGAAAGTGTCATAAATATTTGAAAAGAGTCAGAATATAATTACATATAGGCAATATGATTATCTACAATGAACATACAAGAAAAAATGCTGAAATCCTATTTTAACAAATAAGTGAGTTTAGAAAGGAAGTTGAAAATTGAGTGAAAACAACTCTGTTCACCAGCAATGAATAAGATAATAACAAAAGACATAAACAAAAATGAACACAGCCTCAGTAACCTGTGGGGCAATGTCAAACAGTCTAACATACATTTAAATGGAGTCCAAAATGAACAAAGGGAAGGAAGGAATAAAATATATTTTAAACGGTAATAGCTAAACATTTTCCAAATTTTATGAAAAGTACAAACCCACAGAGCCAAGAAGTTCAATGAATTCCAAGCAGAATAAATGCAAAGAAAACTACACGAAGGAATGTTTTAATAAAATCACTGAAAACTAGTGATAAAGAGAAAATCTTAAAAACAAAAGTAAAAGAACACATTATAAAGTAAACCAAAAACAGGAATGACTGAATATTACCCAGCAATCCCATTACTGGGTATATACCCAAAGGATTATAAATCATTCTACTATAAAGACACATGCACATATATGTTTATTGCAGTACTATTTACAATAGCAAAGACTTGGAACAAACCCAAATGCCACCAATGATATACTGGATAAAGAAAACGTAGCACATATACACCATGGAATACTATGCAGCCATACAAAACAATGAGTTCATGTCCTTTGCAGGGACATGGATGAAGCTGGAAGCTGTCATCCTCGGCAAACTAACACAGGAACAGAAAACCAAACACCACATGTTCTCACTAATAAGTGGGAGCTGAACAATGAGAACGCACGGACACACAGAGGGGAATATTACACACCCGGGCCTGTTGGGGGTGGAGGGAAAGGGGAGGGAGAGCATTAGGACAAATGGCTAATGCTTGCGGGGCTGAAAACCTAGATGATGGATTGATAGGTGCAGCAAACCACCATGGCACATGTATACCTATGTAACAAAGCTGCACTTTCTGCACATGTATCCCAGAACTTAAAGTAAAAAATAAGTAAATAAAAAAAAAGAAACAATGCAAGCCATAGAAAAATGAACGGCATCTTTAAAGTGCTGAAAGATTTGAAAAAAGTCAACCTAGAACACTGTATCAGAAGAAAAGAGTAAGGTGAGATAATTTATTTTCCAGCCAGGATAATTTGTTGTTAGCAGATATATATTACTAGAAATGTTTAATGAAGTTCTTCAGGTTGAAGGAAAATTATATATAAGCAGGAAACTTGGATCAAAATGAAAATGAATGAAAAGCACCAGAAATGCTAAATATGTGAATACAAATTTTTTCTCAGTTTTATATTTAAAGATTATTGATTATTTAAAGAAAAATAATGACATTGCATTTTGTGGTTTATAACATGCACAGAAATACAGTATGAAACAACAATAGCACAAAAGATAGCAGAGGATAATGTTGCAATGGGTTCTTATACTTGAGATGGTGTAATATTATTTGAAAGTAGAATGTAATAAGCTAATAATTCTTGTAAATCACAGAGTACCTGCTGAAAAATAAAGTAGACATATAACTAAAAATGTAATAGTGGAGATAAAATGGAAATAAGAAACAAAAAATAGAAAGCAAAAATAATCAAATATCAAAGCAAATGGGACTAATAAGAAAGAAATAACAAGGTAGTATATTAAAACCCAACCATACTGAAAATTACATTAAATGTAAATGATCTAAACATTTCAATTTAAAAGCAGAGATGGTCAGAATAGATAAAAGTTCAAGAGCCATATATGCTGTCCCACCTTAAATATAAATACAACAATTTAATGTAAATGTATTAACATTAACAGATTAATAATAAAACATTAAGATTAATATTAATGTTATAGTTATAGTAATATATTAATAACATTAAATTAACAATCTATTAATGTTAATACATTAAATTGTTTTATAATTAATGATTTATTAATAATTATGATTTATAAATAATGTTAATATAATGTTAATTTTATATTAACATTAATAGATAATTTTAAATAGATTAAAAGGATGGGAAATATGTATTATACAAGCATAAAGAAAAGGAGATTTATAATGTCTATATTAATATCAGGCAAAGTAGACCTCAGAACTAGAAGTATTTCAGGGAAAAAGAAGGACTTTTTAATATAGATAAATGAGTCAATCAATACATTAGCTTACATGCCTCATGCCAGATCCTCAAAATGCGTTATGCAAAATTGATAAGAATTGAAAGAGTAGACAAATTCACAATTGTTTCTAGAGACATAAACATTCTGTTTTCAGTAATTGATAGAACCAGAAGTTAGAATAAATGTAAGTATGTAAAAGATTTAAAGAGCAGTCAAAGGCCAGGTGCAGTGACTCACACCTGTAATCCCAGCACTTTGGGAGGCTGATGTGGGTGAATTACTTGATATCAGGAGTTCGAGACCAGCCTGGCCCACATGGTGAAACCCCGTCTCTACTAAAATACAGAAATTATGCGGGGACAGTGGTGCACACCTGTAATCCCAGCTACTTGGGAGACTGAGGCAGGAGAATCCCTTGAACCCAAGAGGCGGAGGTTGCAGTGAGCCAAGATTGTGCCAGTGCACTCCAGCTTGGGCGACAGAGTGAGACTCTGTCTCAAAAAAATAAATAAATAAAAGAGCAGTTCACACAATAATAGAATACCTATTCTTTTCAAATGCACATGGGACATTTATGAAGAAGGACCATATGCAGGGTCATAAAACAAGTCTCAATACATTTAAAATACTGAAATCATACAAAAGTATATTCTGTGATCATAACAATTAAAACTAGAAATCAACTATAGGAATATACCCCTCAAATTCCAAAATATTTGGATAATAAACAACATAGTTCTAAATAACGCAATGTCAAAAAAGAAATTAAAAGAAAAATTAGAAAAAAATTTGATTTGAGTAAAAAAGAAAACAAAATATATAAATGTTTATTGGATATACATAAAGGAATCTATAGAGGGAACTTCACAGTTTTAAAAGTTTATATGGGGAAAGGAGAAAGGTCTAGAAATTAATGATAGTAGCTTCTACCTTAAGAAGCTTTAAAACAATACAAATTGAGTCCAAGCAAGTAGACAGAAGGAATAACAAAGAGCAGAAATCAGTGAAGTAGAAAATTGAAAAATAATAGAGATCAATGCTATCAAAAGTTACTTTTATAAAATATCAATAAAATTGACAAACCCCTTACTAGGCTGATTGTAGTCACCCTAAACATCTCTTCCAAAGTCATACTCCCTTCTTGGGGCAGTTCTCTTTAAATTACTGCTTATTGTGGATAAAAAGATGTGGCCACTTTAATCAATTTGGGTCAACTCGAAAGGACCATCCAACTCCAGAGCTGCTGAGGCCCTGTTATAAATTATCTCACTGCCCAATCCTGCTTTCTTCACCCCTGTGGGAGTGCAAATTCTGAGAGTGCTCTCCAGTAAATTTTCTGCACACAAATCCACATCCCAAAGTCTGTTGTGGGGAGACACCTCCTGCAATAAGCTTATTCCAAAAATGTCATATTGTTTTAACATTAAGAAATGTGGTATTATAAATTATCCAGATTGCCAAAAATTAGTAGAAGATGGCATTTGAGTATGCCATGCTTTCTGACACTCCCAACTCTAACCTTTCTATCTTGAGTCAAGTAGCTGTTCCTGGAAGCAGTTAGCTTGATACAAGTGAAGCTTGAAATCTGTGGAGGTCAAACAAATTGTTGTGGGGCTTTCTCCCTGGGCAGGTTGAGAGGGCAGTATCTACACTATCTGTGATACGGTTGAAAGGGCAGAGAAACTAATTAATAGTACAGAATAGAAATAGAGAAATCACCTCTAATATACTTAAGAATTGAGTATAAAGAAATGTAAAATTTCAAATCAGTGGAGAAAAGAAGCAATACTTAACAATGTTTCAGCTGTGTCTTTTGGAATAAAAAAACTTTTTGAATAAGTAAAAGTATTTCTCTTTCAACACCAGGCACCAAAATATATCCTAAATGCTTTGAACGTTTTGGAGTAAGAACTATTAAGAGTTTCAGGAAAACAATGACCTAAGAAGACTGTTTGCAGATATTTTGCAGACACTTATTTAATATATTTATTACACACACAAAGTTGTTACTAGTTAGTAATAAATGAGCAAAGGGTTCATTTAATAATTCAAAACAATTCAAAAGGAAGAAATGCACATGACTGATAAATGTGTGAACAGATGGTGAATCTCACTAGTAATCAAAGCAATACAAATCAAATTAGGATTTCATATCATTTTCATTTCAGAGGAAGGCAGTGACCTGAAGGCACAATAATTATGTACAATATCTGTCCTTACAAATTGTCTGGAATATGTAATCACTAAAGTTTTATTGTATATATACTTAATGGAAAGGTGTTCAAGATGTACAGTTAAATGTTGAAGAAGTAGGTCATGAGAGATTTTACACAGCATGATTCACTTTTTTTGGTAAAATGTTTAAATGATTAAATCTGCAAACTTTTCAATGACCTTTATTTGAACTTTATTAATTACAACATATTTTGATTTTTAAAGCATATATATGACTTTTTTTTCACTTTTATTTCAAGTTCAGGGTTACATGTACAGGTTTGCTATATAGCTAAAAGTGTCATGGGGATTTGTTGTACAGATTATTTCTTCACCCAGGTATTAAACCTAGTACCCATAGTAGTTTTTCCTGATCTTCTTCCTTCTCCCATCCTCCTCCCTCTGATAGCTGCCAGTGTGTGTTTTTTCCCTCTATATGTCCATGTGTTCTCACTGTTTAGCTCCTACTTGTAAGTAATAACATGTGGTATTTGATTTTCTGTTCCTGTGTTAGTTTGCTAAGAATAATGGTCTCCAGCTCCATCCATTTCCCTGCAAAGGACATGATCTTACTCATTTTATAGCTGCATAGTGTTCTATGGTATATATGTACCACATTTTCTTTATCCAGTTGGTAATTAATGGGCATTTAGATTGAATCTAGATTGATTCACTGTTGTGAATAGTGCTGCAATGAATATACATGTGCATGTATATTTATAATAGAATGATTTATATTCTTTTGGGCATATGTCCAGCGATGATATTTCTGGGACGAATGGTATTTCTATTTTTAGGTCTTTGAGGAATTGCTGCACTATCTTCTACAACGATTGAACTAATTTACACTCCCACCAACAATGTATAAGTGTTCCTTTTTTCTCCGCAAGTTTGCCGGCATCTGTTATTTTTTGACTTTTTAGTAGTAGCCATTCCGATTGGCATGAGATGGTATCTCATTTAGGTTTGGATTTGATTTGCCGTTCTCTAATAATCAGTGATGTTGAACTTTTTAAAATGTGATTGTTGGTCACATGTATGTCTTCTTTTGAAAAGTGTTCATGTCCTTTGCTTTTTTTTTTTTTTTTTTTTTGAGACAGAGTCTCGCTCTGTCACCCAGGGTGGAATGCAGTGGCGCGATCTCGGCTCACTGCAACCTCCGCCTCCCGGGTTCGAGCAATTCTCCTGCCTCAGCCTCCTGAGTAGCTGGGATTACAGGCGCATGCCACCACACCTGACTAATGTTTTGTATTTTTAGTAGAGACTGGGTTTCACCATTTGGACAGGCTGGTCTCGAACTTCTGACCTCATGATCCATCTGCCTCGGCCTCCCAATGTCCTTTGCTTTTTAATGGGGTTGATTGTTTTTTTCTTGTAAGTTTACGTTCCTTATAGATGCTGGTTATTAAACCTCTGTTGGATGCATAATTTGCAAAAATTTTCTCCTATTCTGCTTAGGCTGTCTGTTCACTCTGATGATAGTTTTTTCTCCCATTCTATAGGTTGTCTGTTTGCTCTGATGATAGTTTCTTTTGCTATGCAGAAGCCCTTTAGTTTAATTAAATCTCATTTGTCAATTTTTGCTTTTGTTGCAGTTGCTTTTGTGATTTCATCATAAAACCTTTGCTTATGCCTATGTCCTGAATGGTATTGCCTAGATTTTCTTCTAGGGTTGTTATAGTTTTGGGTTTTACATTTAAGTCTTTAATCCATCTTGAATTAATTTTTGTGTATGGTGTAAGGAATGGGTCCAGTTTCAATTTTCTGCTTATGGCTAGCCTGTTCTTCCAGCACCATTTGTTAAATAGGGAATCCTTTCCCCATTGTTTTTTTTTTTGTCAGATTTATCAAAGATTAGATGGTTGTAGACATGTGGCTTTATTTCTGAGTTCTCCATTCTGTTCCATTGGTCTATGTGCCTGTTTTTGTACCAGTACCATGCTGTTTCGGTTACTGTAGCCTTATAGTTTGAAGTCAGGTACCGTGATGCCTCCAGCTTTGTTCTTTTTGCTTAGGATTATCCTGACTATATGAGCCCTTCTTTTAGTTCCATATGTATTTTAAAATAGTTTCTTTTAATTCTGTGAAAAATTTCAGTGATAGTTTAATGGGAATAGCATTGAATCTATAAATTGCTTTGGGCAGTATGGCCATTTTCACGACATTGATTCTTCCTATCCATGAGCATGAAGTGTTTTTCCGTCTGCTTGTGTCCTGTCTAATTTCCTTGAGCAGTGGTTTGTAGTTCTCCTTGAAGAGTTCCTTCACCTCCCTTGTTAGCTGTATTCCTATGTGTTTTATTCTTTTTGTGGCAATAGTGCATGGGAGTACATTCCTAATTTGTCTCTCTGCTTGTCTGTTGTTGGTGTTTAGGAATGCTTGTGATTTCTGTACATTGATTCTGTATCCTGAGACTTTGCTGGAGTTGCTTATCAGCCTAAGAAGCTTTTGGGCTCAGTTGATAGGATTTTCTAGATATAAGATCATATAATCTGCAAATAAAGACAATTTGACTTCCTCTCTCCCTATTTCGATATGCTTTATTGCTTTCTCTTGCTTGGTTGCCCTGGCCAGAACTTCCAATGCTATGTTAAATAGGAGTGGTGAGAGAGGACATCCTTGTCTTGTGCCAGTTTTCAAGGGGTATGCTTCCAGCTTTTGCCCATTCAGTATGATATTGGCTGTGGGTTTGTCATAAATGGATTTTATTGTTTCAAGGTATGTTCCTTCAATACCTGGTTTATTGAGAATTTTTAACATGAAGGGATGTTGAATTTTATCCAAGGTCTTTTCTGCATACTATTGAAATAATCATGTGGTTTTTTGTCTTTAGTTCTGTTTATGTGATGAATTATGTTTATTGATTTACATATGTTGAACCAACCTTGCGTCCCAAGGATGAAGCCAACTTGATTGTGGTGGATAAGCTTTTGATGTGCTGCTGGATTCGGTTTGTCAGTATTTTATTGAGGATTTTTGCATGAATGTTCATCAGTGATATTTGCCTGAAGTTTTCTTTTAATGTGGTATCTCTGCCAGGTTTTGGTATCAGAATGATGCTGGCCTTGTGGGATGAGTTAGGGAGAACTCTCCCCTCTTCAATTTTTTGGAATAGTTTCAGCATGAATGGTACCAGCTCTTCTTTGTACATCTGGTAGAATTCAGCTGTGAATTAATCTGATCCTGGGCTTTTTTGGTTGGTAGGCTATTTATTACTGACTCAATTTCAGAACTCATTATTGGTCTGTTCAAGGATTCAAGTTCTTCCTGGTTCAGTCTGGGGAGTGTTTATTTGTCCATTAATTTACCCATTTCATCTAGATTTTCTAGTTTATGTGCATAGAGGTGTTCATAATATTCTCTGATGTTTGTTTATATTTATCTGGGGTTGGTGGTTTTATCCCCCTGTTGTTTCTGATTGTGTTTATTTGAACCTTCTCTCTTTTCTTCTTCATTAGTCTAGCTAGTGGCCTATTTTATCAATTTTTTCAAGAAACCCAGCTTCTGTATTTGTTGATCTTTTGAATTTTTTTTGTGTGTCTCAATCTCCTTCAATTCAGTTCTAATTTTGGTTATTTCTTGTCTTCTGCTAGCTTGCTTTGGGATTTGTTTTCTCTTGATCCTCTTGTTCTTTTAATTGTAATATTAGGTTGTTAACTTTAAATTTTTCCAACTTTTTGATATGGGCATTTAGTGCTATAAATTTCCCTCTTGACACTGTCTTAGTTGTGTCCCAGAGATTCTAGCATATTGTACCTTTGTTCTCTTTAGTTTTAAAGAGCTTCTTGATGTCTGCCTTAATTTCATTATTTACTGAAAAGTCATTCAGGAGCAGATTATTCAGTTTTCCTGTAATTTATGGTTTTGATTGAATTTTTTAGTTTTGATTTCTAGTTTGATTGTGCTTTGGTCCAAGATATTGTTTGTTATAATTTCAGTTATTTTGCATTTGCTGAGGAGTGTTTTACTTCTCATTATGTGGTCGATTTCAGAATATGTGACAGGTGGCAGTGAGAAGAACATACGTTCTGTTATTTTGGGGTAGAGAGTAGATATTTATCAGTTCCACTTGATTTAATGCTGAGTTTGGGTCCTGAATATCTTTGATAATTTTCTGTCTCGATGATCTGTTTAATATTGTCATAGGGTGTTAAAATCTCCCACTATTATTGTGTGGGAGTCTAAGTCTCTTTGAAGGTCTCTAAGAACTTGCTTTGTGAATCTGGGTGCGCCTGTCTTGTGTGCACATATATTTCGGATAGTTAAATCTTGTTGAACTCTTTCCCATTACTTAATGCCCTTCTTTGTCTTTTTTTAATCTTTGTTGGTTTAGAGTCTGTTTTGTCAGAAACTATGATTGCAACCCCTGCTTTTTTCTATTTTCCATTTGCTGGTAGATTTTTCTCCATTCCTTTATTTTGAGCCTATGTGTGTAATTGCTTGTGAGATTGATCTCTTGAAGACAGCAATGAGTTTTTGTTCTTTATCTGGCTTGCCACTCTATGTCTTCTAATCGGACCTTTTAGCCCATTTACATTCAGAGTTAGTATTGATATGTGTGGATTTGATCCTGTCACCACAGTTTTAGCTAGTTATTTTGCAGACTTGTTTATGTTGTTGCTTCATAGTGTCACTAGTCTGTGTACTTCAGTGTGTTTTTGTAGTGGCTGGTAATGGTCTTTCCTTTCCATATTTATTGCTTCCTTTAGGAGCTTTTATAAATCAGGTCTGGTTGTAACAAATTCCGTCAGCATCTGCTTGTCTGAAAAGGATCTTATTTCTCCTTTGTTTATGAAGCTTGGTTTGGCCAAATATGAAATTCTGGTTTGGATTTTCTTTTCTTTAAGAATGTTGAATATTGGCCCCCAATCTTTTCTGGCTTGTAGAGTTTCTGCTGAAAGGTCTGCTGTTAGTCTGATAGATTTACCTTTATAGGTGATCTGACGCTTCTCTCTAGCTGCCCTTAACAGTTTTTCTTTCATTTTAATCTTGGAGAATCTGATGATTATGTATCTTGGAGATGATCTTCTTGTGAAGTACCTTACTGGGGTTCTCTGCATTTTCTGAATTTTAAAATTGTCCCCTCTATCTAGATTGGAGAATTTCTTTGATGATATCCTGAAATACATTTTCCAAGTTGCTTCCATTCTCCCCATCTCTTTCAGGGACACCAATGAGTCCATAGATTCCATCTCTTTACCCAATCCTAGATTTCTCAGAGGTTTTGTTAATTCCTTTCCATTCTTTTCTCTCTATTCTTGTCTGACTGTCTTATTTCAGAAAGCCAGTTTTCAAGCTCTGAGATTCTTCCCTGCACTTGGTCTATTCTGCTATTAATACTTGTGATTACATAATGAAATTCTCATATTGTGTGTTTCAGCTCAATCAGGTTAGTTACATTCTTTTCTCTACTGTCTACTTTGTCTGTCAGCACCTGCATTGTTTTATCATGATTTTTAGCTTCTGTGCATTGGGTTTCAATATACTTCTGTAACTTCAATTATCTTTGTTCCTATCCGTATTCTGAATTCTATTTCTGTCATTTCCGCCATCTCAGTCCTGTTCACAACCCTTGCTGGAGAAGTGATGTGGTCATTAAGAGGAAAGAAGGCACTCTGGCTTTTTAAGTTTTCATCATTCTTGTGCTGATTCTTTCACACCCTTGTGGGCTTATGTACTTTCAATTTTTGAGGTTTCTGACCTTGGAATGGGTTTTATTTTTCTTTTATCCTATTTGATGACTTTGAGGGTTTGGCTATGGTATAAAGTGGATCCAGCTGACTGGCTTCATTTCTGGGAGATTTTAGGGGGCCAGTGCTTAACTGCCAACTCCTGGACTGTGTGCTCTAAGTCTGGGGGACTTGTATTGGCCCCTGACTTTATTCTCTTGCTCCTTGAGGTTTGGAATCCACTGAACTGGGGGAGGAGGGTGAGGTTTGGCAACCACAGCAGAGTGGTAGCAGGTGCTGAGGTGCCTGCCTCTCTGCAGGCACTCACCACAGTGACAGAGGCAATGCAGCTGGAGGGGGAGTGAGCCCCTCCTGAAGACTGTGCTGGAGGCGGTATTGGCTTGAGGAAGGTATGCTGGTGGGTACACGTCTAGGTGCCTTCTCTCTGCTCTGCAAGCAGGAGTCATGATACTACTTTTGTTTAAAGAAATCCAACACACCCACACACGTCAGGAGCAAGGATTGACAGCCTATACCCCAAGATGTCAGTGATTATCTCTGAGTGATAAGATCATAGTGATATATGATGTGGATGATATGTTTGTCGTATATCTTTAGGTTTTCCACAACAATAATGTATTACTATTGTAAGTAGAAATAGATAAAATGAACTTAGTAACACTCATTTAGTTGATAGGTAAGTGGCCAGCCACTAGCCTTCTGATTGTTATAGGTTTCAAGTTTCTGAATCCTAGGGCAGATAATGTAAAAAGGATATGGAATTTTTAAAAAACAAACTTTCCAGTGGACCTGTAGATTTTATTTTCCAATTCAAGTCCATCTACCTTATATTTGGTGGAAAATTCTTCTGGATTCTGTTTGAGACCTGCCAAGCCTTAGAGTTTGTCACTGAGACTTTGTCTTTCTTTGTGGCCCTTACATACATTATTTTGGGGGTTGGGAAAAAGTTGTGTTCGAATATGCAAGTCAAGATTCCATTTTAAGCCAAATCCCCCAAGCAAGGCTCAGATTCCTCAGATAACCTTGGGCATTGTACTTCCTTTGGGCTAGTAGCTTTGCTCTTAACTAGGATATTTCAAGACATGCAAGAAATACGTTGTCATAATGGACAGATGACTCATGATTCCATCAGTTTAGGGTATGATAATGGTAAGTGAGGCAATCAATATCGACTTTCAGTTTATTTTCTCAATAGATCATGCCATTTCTTGCAAAATAGTTTAGCATTGGTGAGTCCAGAATTATCCAAATGATTTTGTGTAACCCAGGTAAAGCACACAGGGATACAAAATTCACTCAGTATTCAAAATAAATATAGCAAATTGTAAGTAATCTTTATTATGCAAAATTCTATGTTTGACCACAAGGAATTTATATTCCTACAGAAGAGTCCCACAACCTCACTGAGCTGAAGTCCTTTCTACAAATTCACTTTCAGTAATGTATTTAAGAAAATTCTTACTCAAATGATCTCACTTTTGTAAATTAATCCCCAAATCTGCATTGGTATTTCTATTAAAGATTAATTCCACTAGGTGGAGATATTTGCTCAGTTTTGTGGTTCACACTAAAGGATACTGGAATAGAGAAATCTATTAAACAAGGGAGTGTCTCAGAAACAAGAATAATAGCCTTGGGCCTTCCAAGACCTGTTGCTTTGCATTGTAATCATTTGGCAAATGTATACACATTGCTTTGTGGAGTTTAGTATTTGTTTTTAATGATTATAAAAGTGGCAGGTTTCTAGGCTTACAGTATATAATTTTTTATTTTGTTTGAATACTTACAACTTTAACCACTATGGTTTGAATAGACTGTTAACTAGACATCTTAAGTTTTCTCCTTTAACTGTTAGACAGTTCTTGCATTCAACAGCGATATAGTAATTAAGTCTTCATAATAATAAAATAGATTCTGTTTTCACTATGTTTTAGATATTTTATTTTTAATTAAAATGATAATGGCCACTATTAATATATAAATACTGTTGTTGAATACTTTAATCTTTATACTAATAACTTTATGAAAAATGGTACCTTGTCAAATCATGGGGAAACAATTTTTTTAAGTATACCATGCAACTGACAAAGATGTATGCGATAATTCTTAAAGTAAGAAAAGTGTAAGGCCTAAAATACTGGGAAGTTTTTTTTTTTTTCAATTTGAAATTTTTTTGTGGTGATCTGGGTTTCTACTTTTCTGTTTTTATTGGTACCAACATTATATGGAAACAATCTTCATAGTTAAGTAAGAAATTCATCTGCTCCTCTTTATTTTGTATTTGAAGTTATAATATTCTGTGCCATCGGTTAATTGACTTCAAGGAAGTAAGGCTCTAAAACAATGAGCTCTCTCAAAGCAGCTTGGTTCTTTTTTTTTTTTGCCATTGGTTTTTAAAATGTCTTTTGTGTATGAGTACCATTGTCTCTATTTTTATTGTTTTAAAGATACTCTATTAATTACCTACAGCTGTTCTCATAAATTGATTAAAAACACAACAGACTTTTGTCCTCTAATCCCTTAGAGAAAAATTAGCAATTGACATTTTTTTTTCATCTTAAATATATGGGAAAGGGAAGACCAAATCAGATGTGTATAAATGTATTATTAGAAAAATTCTAGTTTTTTTATATCTAATAGATCATGTCTAGTTTTTAAATACATTTAATTTTTCATTTAAAGCAATTGCTTGGTATACATTGCAGATGTAAGATATAAGTAAGTAAGTAAAAATAGTATGTCTCATTTGCCCACTCACCTAACAACTGATTTTCTCTCTAGGATGAAACCCTGGCCCGCCAGTTGGTGGAGCTAGGCTACCGAGGGACTGGAGAGAGAGTGAAAAGGGAAGATTTTGAAGCAAGGAAAGCGGCTATAGAGATTGCAAGACTGGCTGAAAGAGCTCAGCAAAAGTAAGTGTCCATGTTCCAAATCCAGATTTTATGTTATATTCTAGACCTCTGGAGTAATTCAATTTCGTTTGCATTGTTTAATTTAGAAGCACTGGGTGGAGCAGGTAAAACTTGGAATATCCTAAGCATTTGTTCTGCAGATGAGGAACTGAAGCAACTGTAATATGCTTGCACTAAAGCCACATGCAACTTCAAGCTACTAATTTGAAATATACATACCAAAATATGGTCATCATACCAATAAAGTCTTGTTAAAAAGTAACTTGATATTATTGGTTTTATACATTTATATACTAAAAATATGAATGACTTTTGCCTTAGAATTCTTTGTACTTTGAGGTCTGTAAATCTTTAGTATCATTTATGTTCTCACATTTTTCTAAGCATTAATTCATTCAACTTTTTAATCACTAACTTTTGTTTATATGCCTAATTTATATATGTTAGTATATAATATGTGGTTATATTAAACATAAATGTAATGAAATATGTTAAAACATATGATGAAAGAGATATATTCCTAAAGTGAACTGCATCAAACTTGTAAGGCAATTTTATAAAGACCTAACTAGTTGACAAATTAATAACCTATTTCATTTTTAAAAGTGGATCATTAAAGTATAAATGTTGGGGAGGATAATTACTTAGAAATCAGTATACTATCATTGGATAACATCTTTAAAATTACCCAGTAATTATGAGCATAAACTTCCCATGTACACATTATAAACAATAACATTTGGTAGTGGAATGTGCTTTGGTCTTGGGAATATGCAATTAGAAGTGGCCATTCTAATGGTAATTGTGTTTCAGAACCATAGTATACTGAAGTTTAACATACTGATATTTGGGAATATATTAGTTTTCTATTGCTGCCATAACACGTTATTACAAATTTGATGACTTAAAATAACACATTTCTGGCCAGGCGTGGTGGCTCACGCCTGTAATCCCAGTACTTTGGGAGGCAGAGGCGGGCAGATCAAGAGGTCAGGAGATCAAGACCATCCTGGCTAACACAGCAAAACCCTGTCTCTACTAAAAATACAAAAAATTAGCTGGCGTGGTGGTGGGAGCCTGTAGTCCCAGTTACTCAGGAGGCTGAGGCAGGAGAATGACGTGAACCCGGGAGGCGGAGCTTGCAGTGAGCCAAGATCGCGCCACTGCACTCCAGCCTGGGCAACAGAGCGAGACTCCGTCTCAAAACACACACACACACACACACACACACACATTTCTTTGTTCATTGTTCTGTCCATACAGTGTGGCTCGGCCAAGCCCTCTGTATAGTATATCACAAGGTTGAAATCCTGGTGTAGGCTGGATGGCATTCTTGTCTTGAGGTTCTGAGGATGCAACTGCCTCCATGTTCAGTTTGGTTGGCCAAATTCAATTCCTTATGATTATACGGCTGAGTTCTCCAGTTCCTTGGTTGTCATTTGGGGGCTGGTCTTTGCTCCTAGAAGCTGTTCATGTTTCTTTTTAAGCTTTCCCACTCCCTCCAGCAACAGTGGGTCAAGACCCTTTTACCCTTCAGATTTCTCCAACTTCCTCTTCAGAAGGTTCTTTCCTGACTCTGGTCCAAGAAATATCTCTCCTTTTAAGGACTTATGTGATTACACTGTGCCCATCTAATGATCCAGGATAATCTCCCTGTTTTAAAGTCAATAATATTTATTATATCATCAGCAAAGGCCCTTTGTTTGTTATTTCTTCAACTTTTATTTTAAGTTCAGGGGTATGTGTGCAGGATGTGCAGGTTTGTTATAGGTAAACATGTGCCATGGTGGTTTGTTGCACAGGTCATCCCATCACCTAGGTATTAAGCCCAGCATCTATTAGCTATTCTTCCTGATGCTCTTGCTTCAACCAAGCCCCACTTTGACAGGCTCACTGTGTGTCATTCCCCTCCATGTGTCCTGTCTATGTGTTCTCATCATTCAGCTCCCGCTTGGAGGTGAGAACATGCAGTGTTTGGTTTTCTGCTCCTGTGTAAGTTTGCTGAGGAAAACGGCTTCCAGCTCCATCCATGTTCCTGCAAAGGACATCATCTCATTCTTTTTATGGCTGCATAGTATTCCATGGTATATATGTACCATATTTTCTTTTTTCAGTCTATCATTGATGAGCATTTGGGTTGATTCATGTCTTTGTTATTGTGAACAGTGCTGCAATGAACATGTACATGCATGTATCTTTATAATAGAATGATTTATATTCCTTTGGGTATATACTCAGTGTTGGAATTACTGGGTCAAATGCTATTTCTGTCTCTAGGTCTTTGAAGAATTGGCAAACAATGGTTGAATAATTTACACTCCCACCAACAGTGTAAAAGTGTTCCTTTTTCTCCACAACCTTGCCAACATCTGTTGTTTTTTGACTTTTTAATAATCACCATTCTGACTGGCATGAGATGGTATCTCATTGTGGTTTTGATTTGCCTTTCTCTAATGATCAGTGACGTTGAGCTTTTTCTTATATGTTTGTTGGCCGCATGTATGTCTTCTTTTGAAAAGTGTCTGTTCATGAAGCAAAGGACCTTTTGGTATGTAATGCAACATATTCACAGTTCTTAAGATTAGAGAATGGATATCCTTAATCCCATTAATGTGAGAAAGGGGCATTCTGCTTATCACAGGTAATTTATATAAAATCTCAGGAATTTACCGAACATAGTTATTCACTATCAACTTCTATTCTTGGAAAATTGAAATGAGGCTAGTTTTCTGTGTACAATGTAATGTTTGAAATGTGTCTTATGTAAAACATCAGGGAGAGTCTTTTCTTTTTGTGAGAATCAGTCAATGTCTATCAGTCAGAAGCAGAAGTGGAAATATTTTTGTGAGATTTTACAAGGAATTCCTGTAAATTCACATGCAATTTTATGAGTGATATAAGCTATTTCATATCAAGACGAGTTATTCATGTTTAAAGTCTAAGTTCTATTGACATCACATGTCCATTTTGTGTTTGAGGATCAAAGTAGGTATTTCCTCTATGCAATAGTCTCTTTAACTGGTCAGAGCTGGAAGTCATCAGGCTACTTATGAGCCAGTTTTGGGAGACTAATCCCCATTCAGAGCTGCTAGAATTTGAAGGCCCTTTCATCTGCAGATCTTCTCTGGTTGCCTTTGTAATGGGATGGGTACCATATGTTGCCTTTTGCCCCATGTGGTAGTCCATTCCCTTCCAGGTTCATTTAGTGTTGTTGACAGCAGGGCCAGCAGATGGTGTCCTAGAGCCAAATATGTCCTGTGCCTATATTTGTTGGAGGATCACTTTGAAAATATGCATGAACATCTGACTGCCAGCCAGCTGGCAACTTGGAAACACTTGGTTCCACTATCAGATCATCTTACATTAACTTCTTTAATATGCAGGTGAGCAACTCCAAGTAGGTCACAATTCTTTGGTCTAGCAATCATAGAGCACCTATTTCGAGAAGTGCTGGTATCTAGGAGTATGTTAATTACTCACAATAGCTTCACAGGGGAAAAAGTCTGGAGAGATGAAAGTTAAAGATATCAGGAAGGTATATTTTGATTAGGGATGTTCAAGAAGAAGGCAAAAATGCTAAAAAAATATTTTGGGCTTCTATTCAGTCTTTCACAAATTAGACAACCATAGTGCATTAGGCTCTGTGCTGTAGGCTCTGGGAATACAATAGAAAACAAGACTTAGTTCTCACCCTCAAGAAGCTTGAAGACTAGAGAAATGAAAGGCATTACATTGTTGGTGGGAATGGAAAATGGAAAACAGTTTGGCAGGTCTTCAAAAAATTCAACGTAGAGTTACTATATGACCCAGCAATTCTACCAAACACATATTCAAGGGAATTGAAAAACCTAAGTCCACTTAAAAACTCATATACAAATGTCAGTAGCAGTATTATTCATAGTAGTTAAAAGGTAGAAATTGTCCAACCCATCAACTGATGAATGGATAAAAAATTTGGTACCTAAGTGTAATAAAATACTATTCAGTCATCAAAAGGTATAAAGTAGTGTTACATGCAACAACATGAAAAACCTTAACACATTAGGGTAAGCAAAGGAGGCTAGAAAAAAAAGACTACTTACTGCATGATACCATTTATATAAAATGTCCAGTATCAGTAAATCTATAGAGACAAGTAGATTCATGGTTTCCAAGGACTGGATGGAAGGGAGATTGGACAATGACTGCTAATGAATATGAGGTTTCTTCTTGGTGTGATAATATGTGTAAATAGACATTGGTGATAATTGCATAACTTTGTAAATATACTAAAATCTATTGACTTGTGCACCTTAAAAGTGTGAATTTATAGTATGTGATTTAAATTTCAGTTCAAAAAGACAATTGCAATGGAAGATGATAAATGCAATCGTAAGTACTGTGGCAACATTTTGAAGTAATACAAAGTCAAGATTTGTGAGGGGACGTGAAGAATAAGAAAAGTTCTTCTTAATGTTTGACCACTAAATTGATTCTTAAAGGCTCAATTAGAGTTAATCAGGCAAAGAGTGGTGTGAGTGAACACATCCATTTTGCCTCAATCTTATGATAAACTCCCCTTATTCACAAATTATTTTCTTTACTTCTTTGTCTTAATTTGTACCTGTTCCTTCACTAAGGCCCTTTTTTCTCCAAAAACTATACCAACTAGAGGCACCCATTTCAACATTTACTGGGTTGGTATCCAAGGTGATGATGTGGGGCAGGGTCGGGGGGATAGAGTCGATTCTTCATTCTCCTAGCTTTCTCGTCCTTTGCTTCAAAATCATCTCTGCTCCACTATTATATAAACATCTCTGATTTCTTCTCCACTGAGATTCATTCCACTGGTTATAGTAGCCATAAGACAGAAGCTGTAGAGGTTGGAAGAAGGGATGGGAGTAATTTAGCTGATACCCATTTGTCAGGACAGGGAATTCTCTCCCCCAGGGACTGGCCATGGTTTTCTTGCATAAGTGCCAGATAATTTCTATTTATAGTGAGAAGTTCAGCTGATTGCCATGTGGTGGAGAGATGGAACTTCAATATTCGTGACACACATTGACTATTGTGTTCCTAGAGCCTAGTCAGTAGTTACAACTGAGTCATCCCTCAGGCTGGATACTTGCCTGGATGAGCTTGTAAGATCATCAGTTTTTCACTTTGGGTCACCTTATCTTATTGGGAAATGAATTCACCCCTCTTAAAACTGGTTCTGAGATAATGACCTTATTTTGCTAGAGCATGGTATCTGAAATGCAGATGATCGGAATAAGTGGTAGCCCTGATGGATTCTGTCATTGTACTGGTTAGCTATTGCCATCTTCTTGGAAGACTATTAGATAAGTCTTTGGGAATTACTGTAAGGATTCACTTGATAGGAGTCTCAGATGCTGTATATACATGGATCCCTATGATCTTTTTGTACTTGATGAAGAGGATTTCTATGGTGATTTAGAGTAGGGCTCTTGTACCCTTTATTCTCAAGTATATCTGGAATAAAATGTAAAAACTGGATAAATCTCCAGCCTTTCTTATGCTATTCAATCTAGTTAATTTAGCATCTGTTAAATTCTTTTTTCTGCTATAATGTATAGTTATCTCCTTCAATTTGTTTTTAACTATAGAAGGTAGAAATGTCTGTTAACTTATAAAATACTTTTAATTTTATGGAGATGAGCACTTTGGGAGGTTGAGATAGAACTGCCTGAGCCCAAGAGTTCAAGACCAGCCTGGGCAACATAGTGAGACCCCAAATCTTAAAAAAAAATTATGGTGATGAAGTCGGATAAAATTCCAGAGTTTATTTTATATAAGAATGGCTTTATCCTGTCAACCTTGTTTTATTTTTGTATATCATTTTATGATAAAAACTGAATATCATATACTTGAGAATTAAATGAGAAAATTTATGTATTTTAAGTGTTTGGTGAAATAATTTTAACTTTTTGCTTAGTATCATATTTTTAAATAGTTATTCTCATGGTTTGTTGCTTTCAAACCAAAGCAATACAGTTGTGATTTGTTGCAGATTAGCATCTCCAGGAAGCAGACAGTGAGAATTAGGAGTGCACAAGGTTTGTTGAGAAAGCAAACACCTGTGAAAGGAAAAGTGAGGAAGCAGGACTGAGCAGGGTCAGAGCCCTAACCTCAAACTTTGAGAGAATCTCTCAGCACAGTGGAGAGCTCCACAGTACAAGTTATCCCACATGGGATGAAATAGCCAGGCCTTAGTATCTCCACTGTACTCATTGGCTGGGGACCACTAAGAAAAGTTGAGGCCAATCTTGAAAGGGTTAAAAGCTGGAAGCTGTCAGCTCATGAAGCTCCTCACAGCTGGCAGAAATTCCTTTATACAAGGTACATCTGAGTGATGCATCTTGTAACATACAGATCTACTTCATGCGCACATGGAGCAGCTCCTCCAGAGCATAAAGGCCTCTCTTCATGAGAGGAAACTCACAATAAAGTCAATGGGGTGAGCTACCGCCCCTATCATTTCATAATCTTCCTCTTCCACTATCCATTCTAAATCTCCTGCCTTTGTCTATCATCTTTCTAGGATTTTGTGATGTGACCCAAAATCCTTATTCACAAATGCCCTGAGGCCCTTATCATCCTACTCTACTCAGGCCCATGTTGATACATTTGTCATTCACATTTAAAATTTAGGAAGAGCGTATGAACAGATGCCTAGGTGGTTCACCTGAGTTAGCCATGTATTCTTCCCTATCCCCATTCTATAACTGCAGTCCTTCTTTTTGCTGATCAGCATCAGTTACTCTACAAGATCATGTCTCCTCTTCTTGCCTGCTGCTTCCTGGGCACAAGATGCCCAAGGTGCCTAAGTGGCAGCCATAGCTTGTAGTTCAGTGAGACACTTGCTGTTTTCCTTGGTGAGTATCCTAGTGCATGCACATCGGTTTTTAATAGTATTGCTGCCGAGCTGGAGATTCAGTGGTGCCTTCAGTGAACATTCCAGCACTTTTAGCTGACAGCTTCTGGATAGTGCATGCATAATATGACCAGAGGACCCCATGTTCATGAACACTCTGCTGTATCTATTTTCTATACAATGGGTATATCAGTTCATTCTTACACTGCTGTAAAGAAATATCTGAGACTGGGTAGTTTATAAAGAAAAGAGGTTTAATTGGTTCATGATTCTGCAGGCTATACAGGAAGCATGGTGGCATCTGCTCAGCTTCTGGGGAGTCCTCAGGAAACTTACAATTATGGCAGAGGGTGAAAGGGAAGCTGGCACTTTACATGGCCAGAGCAGGAGGAATAGAAAGTTGGGGAGGTGCCACACACTTTTAAACAACCAGATCTCTTGAGAATTCACTATTGCAAGGAGAGTACCAGGGGGAAATCTGACCCCATTATCCAATCACCTCCCACCAGGCCCCACCTTTCTTCACTGGGGATTACAATTTGACATGAGATTTGATGAGGACACAGATTCAAACCATATTATTCTGTCCCTGGGCTCCCCAAATCTCATGTCCCTCTCACATTGCAAAACACAATCATGCCTTCCCAACAGTCCCCCAAAGTCTTAACTCATTCCACTATTAACCCAAAAGTCCACAGTCCAAAGTCATCTGAAACAAGGCTAGTCCCTTTTGCCTATGAGCCTGTAAAATCAAAAACAAGTTAGTTACTTCCAGGATACAATGGGGGATAGGCATTAGGTAAGTACCCTTGTTCCAAAAGGGAGAAATCGGCCAAAAGAAAGGGGCTACAGGCCCCAGGCAAGTCTGAAACCCAGCAGGGCAGTCATTAAACCCTAAAGCTCCAAAATAATCTCCCCTGACTCCATGTCTTACATCCAGGGCATGCTGATGCAAGGGGGGCTCCCAAGGCCTTGAGCAGCTCCACCCTTGTGGCTTTGTGGCTTCACCCCCACAGCTGCTCTCATGTGCTGGCGTTGAGTGCCTGTGGCTTTTCCAGGCACAGGGTGCAACTTTTGGTGGCTCTACCATTCTGAGGTCTGGAGGATGGTAGCCCTCTTCTTACATCTCCACTAGGCAGCGCCCCAGTGGGGCCTCTGTGTGAGAGCTCTAACTCCACATTTCCCTTCCTCACTGCCCTAGAAGAGGTTCTCCATGAGGGTTCTGCCCCTGCCGCAGGGTTTTGCCTGGACATCCAGGCTTTTTCATATATCCTCTGAAATCTGAGTAGAGGTTCCCAAGCCTCAACTCCTCCATTCTGTGCACTTGTAGTCCTAACACCACATTGAAGCCATCAAGGCTATGGCTTGCATCCTCTGGAACAATGGCCTGAGTTATACCTGAGCCCCTTTGAGCCACAGCTGGAGCTGGGGTGGCTGGGGTTTGGGATGCAGGGACTGGTGTCCTGAAACTGCACAGGATAGCGGGGCACTGGGCTTAACACATAAAATTGTTCAGTCCTCCTAGGCCTCCAGGCCTGTGATGGGAGGGGCTGCCACGAAGGTCTCTGGAATGCCTTTTGAGGCCTTTTCCCCATTATCTTGGCTATTAGCACCTGGCTCCTTTTTTGTTATACAAATTTCTGCAGCCTGCTTGGATTTCTCCCCCCAAAATGAGTTTTTCTTTTCTATCACATGGCTAGGCTGCAAATTTTCCAAACTTTTATACTCTGTTTCTCTTTTAAATATAAGTTCCAGTTTTAGATTATGTCTTTGCTCACACATATGAACATAGGTTTTTACAAGCAGCCAGGACATATCCTGAATGCTTTGTGCTTAGAAATTTCTTCTGCCAAATACTCTACATCATCATTCTCAAATTAAAAGTTCCACAGATCCCTAGAGCCAGGGCACAATGCAGCCAAGTTCTTTGCTAGGACATAACAAAGTGATCTTTGCTCTAGTTTCTAATAAGTTGCCTCTTTCAATCTGAGACCACTTCAGCCTACCTTCACTATTCATATCACTATCAGCATTTTGGTTACAATCATTCAACAAGTATCTAGGAAGCTTTAAGATTCCCCTCATTTTCCTGTCTTCATCTGGGTCTTCCACATTTTTCCCATTATCCAGTTTCAAACCTCTGCCCATTACCCAGTTCCAAAGCTGCTTCCACATTTTCTATTATCTTTATAGCAATACCCAACACCTAGTACCCATTTTCTGTATCAGTCCATTCTTGCATTGCTATAAAGAAATAACTAAGACTGGGTAATTTATAAAGAAAAGAGGTTTAATTGGCTCATGATTCTTCAGACTGTATAGGAAACAGGGCAACATTTGCTCAGTTTCTAGAGAGACCTCAGGAAACTTACAATCTGCTGAAAGGTGAAGGGGAAGCCAGCATTTCACACAGACTTAGCAGGAGGAAGAGAGAGATGGAGGAGGTGCCACACATTTTTAAGCAACCAGATCTCACAAGAACTCACTGTCACAAGGACAGTACTATGGGGAAATCTGCCCCCATGATCCAATCACCTCCCAACAGGCCTCACCTCCAACACTGGGGATTACAGTTTGGCATGAGACTTGGTGGGAATGCAGATTCAAACCATACGAATGGGTTCCCTGGTCGGGATGCAACTTTGTATTGGATTTGATGCTTGTGTAGCAGGCGTTCAATGAGTCCCCAGATAGCAGTGCTGGCTAAGGCCGAAGAGGAGAAAAGCCAAACTCTGGAGTTGTGAGAAAATATATTTCTGTTTTAAGCCATCCTCTCTGTGATACTTTATTATAGCAGTCCTAGAGAACTAACACATTGAGTAAGGCTGTAGTATATCAGGGAAAATGTATGAAGTGGCAGGCCCCCAGAGCTTTGTAGGGTTTATCTGCCCTCCTCTGGAGTGACCATGCCTTTTGAAAGCCAGGTACTACTCATTTCTTGTTCATCCTTTCCAATCAGCGTGATGTCACTGATGGAATCAATCAATGTGAAGTTCTGTGGGATGCCCAACCAGCCCAGATTCCATTATGACAGAGGACAGGAGAATAAACATAACCCCGAGACAAAATTGTAAATACATGTTATTGTCTGTTTAATGAGAAATCAAACTGATTTTGACTTTATTTCCTAATTGAGGCAGAAAAGAACTTATTCACGAAATCAATAGCTACATAGTATCTATCTGAAGACACATTAGTCTGTTCCAGCAAGTAGCACTGCAACTGCAATTAGGGCTACTACTTGGAGGAGCTTGTGGTAGTCTACACTTATTCTCCAGGATTCAACATGGGGGTTGTGCCAGCTGCCATGTATGACAATCTGAATTAGACATTTCAGTCAATGATCCCTGAGTGGCTGCATAGACACAGTGGACCTAACCCTTGCATAGACACAGTGGACCTAACCCCAAGGGTTAGGATAAACTAACCCTTGGCCAGGACTCCATTTCTCATCTGACCCCCATAAGCTTCCACTCTAAGAGCGGGGCCACAGTGATTCTTTGGATCTCTAGATACCAGTCTCAGCTTGAATGCAGATTGAATGCAGATTCAGTAGTCCATTAACTGTGTGGGTATTACATTTTCCTTTGTGTGTACTCATTTGAGTAAATGCCCATAGGTCTCTTTGGGGGAGAAGAGAATCACTGCAATGAATACTTGCTATGGTGAATACTGCATGTGGTCACATATTTAGTCAACAAGTTCTTGGTCTAAAAACTGAATGATATATGGCAGTGCATCGTGCTTTTTTACTGGAATGGCTGCCTTCAACCTCAAGTAACCATCTTTAATTTCTAACTATGATACAAATTGAGTTATTCCTTTATTGATTGCCCATCTGTTTTGTTCAAGGATTACCATGTTCTATAAACCATCTTCATAACTTTCTGCAGTGCCCTTGGTGGTCATTGGGCACATTACATCATTGGTCCTTATGATAATTACAAGTCCCTGGTGTCTTATGGTTAAGTTCCATCACTTAGCTTCTGTTGCATCAAGGTACTATTATGCCCATTGTGCTTAGGGTAGCCTAGGTATGCAACAAGGCTTTTCTGCATTCAGCCCTGGAATGCATTGGAGAGCCATCACTGAACTTCTTAATGATTCTGATGCTTCAGTAACTAGCACATTTTTTATGCTATTAACGACTGGCTATCTTCTGGGTTCTTCTATAGACCATGATCTTCCGGTGAGTTTTCTGGTCTCACACAATATGTTTCTTCTAGGATTGCCATTTTCCTGAGCATTTTCCTCTCTTCTTCAAAAGTCTCTCTCTGAAATTTAGGCCTTTGAACTGCACTCAGTGTAGGCCATTGCTTGTTCCAGGTTTCTTGGAGTCACGCTAGCAGAGTTTGCCTCATCTTCTGGGGTCCGTACCAGAATGCAATGCCCTGTGTTCTGAGAAAGTGTCATGTGAATAAACTCTGACTTATTTAGTCTTATTTCTGCTTTCTCTGACCTAGAATCCCCAGAATCTAGTCCAATGAGTCCCTCTAGTCTTGTTGGTACAAGTCCTAGGTCTTGTAGTATATGTGGGATAATATTCCTTTTTTTCTTATCAGACCTACCATGTCCCTATCTGTGACTTGACCATATTATCAGCCTGGTGGCCAGAAGTGTAACTCTGATAAGGGAACTGGGGATATCTCCTGAGGCACACACCTGCTTTTATGTGGGAGAAAGGCCTCTATTTTCTTTACATTGCTGCTGCTAGTTGTGGGGGTTTGCTAGCTCTTACTGAAGAGCAGTGGGCTACTTCTTCAGGCTCAGAAGATTTAGAGATCTGGAAAGGTCAAAATTTTCAAAAACATCTACTCATTTGTCCCAATCCCATGTGTCAGGAGCTGCGATTTTCCTAATCAGAGCTCTGATTTTGGTGTAACATACTTGCCCCTGCTGAACATTTGACTGCCTTTGGAACTCATTCACTGTGACTGTCAAATCCTGGCTTGATCTTCATCTTATTCTGCTTGTCCACTGCATGAAATGAGGGCTTCTTTATAAGCTAGCTAATAGACTCTGTGCCTCTTGAGACTTTGAATACCTGAAATATCCTATTGGCTAGGGAATTCCCCTTCAGTGGCATGGCATCCCAGCTTAAAACATATGAATCTTTTATATGTTTGCATATGACTTTGTCCTTGGCCTGTTTGCATATGACTTAACTGCGGGGATGTGGCCAGGGATGTGGACCTCATTACATCTTATTCGACTTGCCCACTTCATGAAATGAGGGCTTCCTTGTAAGCTAGAAAAGAGACTCTGGCAAATTCAGTGCTAGAGTGGCTCCAAGAAACCTGGAACAAGCAATGGCCCGCACCAAGTGCAGTTCAAAGGCCTAAATTGCAGAGAGAGACTTTTGAGGAAGAGATTAAAAGGCTCAGGAAAATGGCAATGCTGGAAGGGACATATTGTGTGAAACCAGAAGACTCACCAGAAGATCGTGGTCCATAGAAGAGCACAAAGGATACCCAGTAATTAAGGCCATTAACTTTTGCATTATTAACCTATAGGGCATCAATGCAATTTAACAACTAATTCCATTGTTCTTGTATTCATTATTCTCACATACATTTTGAATGCCTGAAACATCCTATTGGCTAGGGCATTCCCCTTGAATGGCATGGCATCCCAGCTTACCACATGTGAATCTTTTAACAACTGGACCATACCTTGTGTTGGGCCTGTCTGCACATGACTTCATTCCAGGGATGTGTCTGGGGATGTGGACCTCATTACCAGAGAACTCATGGTGAGTGATCCAATCCTCAAGCCTCATCTTGCTGTTTCAGGCTGATCCACATGCAGTCTGTCACAGACTAGCCTCTCTGAAATAAAGTCGAGAATTCAAAACGTTAATTGAGAAGTATTAAACATAAAAGGAAAAGTGTGGAGGCAAGGTTGAACAAGGGCAGCTTTCAGACCTTAATGCCCATGGGCAAAGTCTCTTCCAAACTAGTGAAGGGAATGCAAAGCAAAGATTGCCTGCTAGAGGGGCGCCACATTTGGTGGAAATGGTTAGGTTCTTGAACCACCAGTTTACTCAGTGCTTTGTGTGGGCCACCCAGAAAACAATATGTCATGAGCTCAATTGCTGAGGCTGACAAAGAAAGAGTTAAGAACCAGAAGGTGTCAGCTGACTCTACTACTCCTAGCTAGGTAGCACATCCATTATTTTTTATAATTCGTTTTTGAAAGTTAGATGTATTGATGTTTTAAAGTGTGTAATTCAATGAGTTCTGACAAATGTATACAGTAGTGTCAGTCTCACCACAATCAGGGTAACATTTTCATTACCGCAAAAAGTTTCCTCATGCCTCACTGTATTCTTTGTAGCCCCTGACAAACCAGCCATATGATTTCTGTCCCTATAGTTTTGCCTTTTTTTTAGAATGTCATATGAATGGAATCATAAATTATGTTGTCTTTTTTTCACTAATCATAAAGCTTTTGAAGCTTTTCTATATGGTTGCATGAATGAGAGTTTGCTTTTTTATTGTTGAGTAATATGGCATTTTCTAGGTGGATAATAGTTTGTGTACATATCTGTTTTCCAGTCGATGGATAATTGGGCTGTTTCTAGTTTTTGGCTTTTCCAAATAAACTTCCTGTAAATATTTTAAAAAGATCTTTTTAAGGAAATATGTTTTCATATATCTTAAGTATATATCCAGGAATGTGATTACTGATTCGTGTGGCAGCTGTATATTTAATTTTATAAGATACTGTTAAATTGTTTGCAAAGTGTCTGTATCGTTTTACTCTCTCCTTAGCAAGGTGTTAGAGTCCCAGTGGTCTATTTATTTAAGAACACATGGTATTGACAGTTAAAAAAATTTAGCCAGTAAGGCAGGTGTATTTCCCTAATGACTAATGATGCTGAACATCTTTCTTCTTCTTCTTCTTTTTTATTGAGATGGAGTTTCACTATTGTCACCCAGGTGACAATGCAATGGCATGATTTTGGCTCACTGCAACCTCTGCTTCCCAGGTTGAAACGATCCTCCTGCCTCAGCCTCCTGAGTAGCTGGAATTACAGGTGCCCGCCACCACGCCTGGCTAATTTTTGTATTTTTAGTAGAGACAGCGTTTAACCACATTGGCTAGGCTGGTCTTGAACTCCTGACCTCAGGTGATCCACCCACCTCGGCCTCCCAAAGTGAGCATCTTTTTATGTGCTTATTTTCCATGCATATCTCTTCTTTGGTGAAATGTTTTATTGATTTTAAGTGTTCTTTATATATTCCAGTTACAATTTTTTCATCAGATATGAGTCTTGCAAATATTTTTTCAACATCTGTACCTTGTCTTTTTATTTCCTTAATAGTGTCTTTTGAAGAGTAGATTTAAATTTTGATAAACGCCAGTTTATCAGTTTTTCTTTAAGGTTCATGTGTGTGTGTATTTCTGCGTGTCCTATGTAAGAATTATTTGAATTCCTAGTTACAAGTATCTTTTCTATATTTTCTTTTAAAACTTTAGAGTTCTAGGTTTCACATTTAAGTTTGTATTAATAATTTATTTTAAACTAATTTTGTAAATTTTGTTAGGTAAGAGGCTTTTTATTTTCTAATTTAAATATCCAACTGTTTCAGCACTATTTATTGAAAAGACTATTCTTTTTCTATTGAATTTTGTAGGTACTTTTGTTGAAAATTCTTTGACTGTATATGTACCTGTCTATTTTTTGTGGATTTCTATTCTATTCCACGGATTTATATGTCTATCTTTATGCCAACATCACATTGCCTTTAAGTCTTAAAATCAGGTAATATGAGTCCTCAAACTTTTTTTTTTTAATTGCTTAAAATTCTGGTTCCCTTGCTTTTCCATATAAAGTTTAGAATCACCTAAATTTGTAGAAATCATCTTGTTGATTCCTACAAATAAGCCTGCTGGGATTTTGCTAAAATAGTTATCAATTTGGAGAGAATTACATCTTAACATATTGAGTCTTTTGATCTATGAATGCTGTAAATCTCTTCATTTATTTGGGTTTTATTTATTTCTCTCACGAATGTTTTATAGCTGTATTGATCCTAATAAAGACATACTTGAGACTGGGAAGAAAAAGAGGTTTAATTGGACTTATAGTTTCACATGGCTGGGGAGGCCTCTGAATTATGGTGGGAGGTGAAACGCACTTCTCACATGGCAGTGGCAAGACAATAATGAGGAAGAAGCAAAGGTGGAAACCCCTGATAAACCCAACAGATCTGATGAGACTTATTCACTATCACAAGAATAACATGGGAAAGATTGGTCCCCATGATTCAATTACGTCCCCTGGGGTCCCTCCCACAACACCTGGGAATTCTGGGAGATACAATTAAAGTTGAGATTTGGGTGGGGGCACAGCCAAACCATATCAATAGCTTTCAGTATCTTGCAAATATTTTGTTAGATCTGTCCCTAGAAATTTCATTTTTTAATGCTCTTGTAACTAGAATTTTTAAAAGTCACTTTCTAATTGATTATTGATAGTATATAGAAATAAAATTGATTTTTCTCTGTTAACCTTTCATCATGCAACTTTCTTAAACTTATCAGTTCTACTGGCTATTTTTTGTGTGGTTTTGTATGCAGAAGATCATAAATTAAACCTTTTATTTCTCTATATCTAATTTGTATGCTTTTATTATTATTATTTATTTTTCATTCTTTAATGCACTGCATGAAACCTCCAAGATAATGTGTAATAGAAGTAGAGAAGGGGATATTGTTTTTTTTTTCAGTTTTAAGAAGAAAGCATTCTCTCATTATTAAATATGTTAGCTCTAGTGGGTTTTTTTGTAGATACTGTTTATCAGTTTGAGGAAGTCTCCTACTAATCCTAGTTTACCAAGAGTATTTGACATGAATGGATATTAAATTCTGTCAGATGATATTTTTCTGTTGATTGAAACAATCTTATGGTTTTTCAGGTTCTTTACTTTTAGTTTGTTGATAAAGTGATTTACATTGATTGATTTTTCACAGGTTTAACCAACTTGCATTCATGGGAGAAACCCAGTTTGCTCATTGTGTATATAATGTTGGATTAAGTATGCTAATATTTTGTTGAGAATTTTTACATCCACTTAATTAAGTAATTAATTAATTTTGATATTGTGTTTATTTTTTCATTCATTTTATGTATTTGTCTTTAGTCTTTTTGTAAGGCCTTTTCTGATTTTCTATCAGTGTAATTCTGGCTTCAGAAATAATTTAGGATGTTTTACTTGCTCTTCTACTTTTTGGTAATTTGTAGAGTTGATGTTATTTCTTCCTTAATTGATTGGTAGAGTTCACCAGTGAAGCCTTCTACCACTGGAGTTTTCTTTGAGAGAAGGCTTATAACTACAAACTCTATTTTTAAAATAGATAATAGGGAAAATCAGGTTCTTTCTTTCAAAATATGTTTGTAGTTTGTATCATTCAAGGTATTTGTTCATTTCACCTAATCAATCTATAGGCATAAAGTCATTCTTAATATCATGTTATCATTTTAATATATGTAGTAGAAAGTGTAGGGATATTCATTTTTTATCTCTGATATTAGTAGGTCATTTTTAATCTATCAGTTTTAATGATCTTTTTGAAGAACCAGCTTTTTAACATGAATTGTTTTCTCTACTATTTTGTTGTTTTCTGTTTTATTGATTTCTGCTCTTATTTTTATTATTTCTTCCTAGTTGCATTGTAATTAATTTGTTTTAGTTTTCTAGTGCTTTAATGTAGAATATTAGTTTATTGATTTTAAACTATTCTTCTGCTATATAAACTTGAAATTCCATATGTTTTCCTCTATGCACTGATTTAGTTGGATTTCACAAATTTTGATGTTTGATGTTTGTTTTTCATTTCTATGTTTATTTTAATTTTCACTCAATTCAAAGGCTTTATAATTTCCTTTATAACTCTTGAAGTATGTTGTTTAACCTCTAAATGTTAGAAAATTTTTCAAAATGTCATTATGATATTAATTTCTAGTTAAATTCTATTATGGAAAGAGAGTATTTTATATTCTTTATGATTTAATTTGTTTACATTTATTGACATTTACTTTATCTCCCAGTATATGGTCTATCTTAGTTGATGTTACAGGTTCACTTGCATGTGTATTCCCTCTTGTAGGTGTATTTTTAGAATTACTATTCTAAAAATAGCAATTAAGCCAAGTTGCTTGATTGTGTTGTTCAGGCCTACTGTATCCTTACTGATTTCCTGTCTACTTATTCTAGCTATTACTTAGAGATGAATGTCGTTATGTCCAACTATAATTATAGGTTTATCTGTATCTTTTAAAATACTATCTTTTTGATTTATGTATTTTGATATTCTGATGCTAGATACATATGCTTCATGATTTTTTATTTCTTCTTGAAATAAAATTGAGCTATATCATTGTTCAATATCATCTTCACTCTTGGCAAGATTTTTCTGATATTTATATAGACACTCAAGCTTTCTTTTAAACAGTATTTGCATAATATTTTTTCCGTCCTAGCCTCTTTGAGCCTAAAATACATTTACAAAGCTTAAAATAAATTTACAGAGAAAACTATATAGACAAAATCCAATATTGGTGACAGCTCGCTAGTGATTAATTAAAGACCAAATAAAATTACATTTAAAAAATTATGACAGTTTTCTTCAGAATATTATTTAGATTGTGTCTCACATTTTTTTTTTTTTTTTTTTTTTTTAGATAGAATCTCACTCTGTTGCACAGGCTGGAGTGCAGTGGCATGATCTTGGCTCACTGCAACTTCCACCTCCTGGGTTCAAATGATTCTCCTGCCTCAGCCTCCCTAATAGCTGGGGTTACAGGTGCATGCCACCACACCTGGCTAATTTTTTGTATTTTTAATAGAGACAAGGTTTTGCCATGTTGGCCAGGCTGGTCTCAAACTCCTGACCTCAGGTGAACCACCCACCTTGGCCTCCCAAAGTACTGGGATTACAGGTGTGAGCCACCATGCCTTGACTCATTTTTGTTCTTACTTCAGCTGTCTGCCTAAATTTTATTTATTCATTCAGTAATCGTCTACAATCTGTTGTAAGCAAAAAGATCTCTTCTAAGATTTTGTTCCACTTTACTTGACCTCTGCTACTGCTTTTAATGAGAGTTTATGCATTTCTTAAAATGTTCCCTTTCTTTGGCCTTTATTACTTTGTAGCCTATTTGTCTTCTAGATATTCTAATATCTAGTATAATTGTTTTACCATTTCCTTTTCTCTCACTAATTTGGATCTCTCCCAAATGACATTTCTCTCATTTACACCTCTTTTATATTCCACTACTTCAATATGTCACACACTTTTATGTCTTCTATTAACTTTGGTCAGATGTTCAAGCATGTCTGTTCTTCTGGGCTTTTAGCTCCATATCTACTTCTTATTGTTACTTTTTGTCAAACCAATAACAAAATGCCTTTAAAAATAGCTCATTATTTTTCTTTCACTGAATTCTATTTCCCATGCCAAAATGCCATTTTTATTATGATAATACCATATTTTTGGCCCTATAGATTTTATATTTTAGAGTGTCTTCAAAATCTCCTTGATGAAAATTCTAATTGGTAATGAAAAATGGACTCTTGCTGATTCTTTTATTTATAATTACTCTTAACATATACATTTTTTTTTTTTTTTTTTTTTTTTTTTTTTTTTTTTTTTTTTTGAGACGGAGTCTCGCTCTGTCGCCCAGGTCGGACTGCGGACTGCAGTGGCGCAATCTCGGCTCACTGCAAGCTCCGCTTCCCGGGTTCACGCCATTCTCCTGCCTCAGCCTCCCGAGTAGCTGGGACTACAGGCGCCCGCCACCGCGCCCGGCTAATTTTTTGTATTTTTAGTAGAGACGGGGTTTCACCTTGTTAGCCAGGATGGTCTCGATCTCCTGACCTCATGATCCACCCGCCTCGGCCTCCCAAAGTGCTGGGATTACAGGCGTGAGCCACCGCGCCCGGCCCATATACATTTTTAAAATTCTTGTAAATCGCTAATCCAGTCAAACCAGTTGACTTGGTTTGTTGCAATGCCTTACCTGGTTGTTCAGTCTCAACATCCTTCATAGTTCATTATGATCTGCTGCCCGATTATGCTTCTGGGAAATAGTTTCAAAACATTTCCTTCCTCCTGTTCCTTTTTCCTTCTACTATCTTCCTTCTATCTATCAGCTATCTATAGTCTGCATTCCTACAAAAGAATTTGAGGCAATTAACAAGGGAAATGTGTATATCTTATGACAAAAAGATTTTAAAAGATGGAGAGAAAGAAAAGGTTGAAGAAATGGAGTGAAGCTGAGGTTGAGGTTAGTGTTCAAAATGTATGCCAGATTTAAAAGAGAAAAATAAGCTAGCCATAGGCAAAAGATTGAAACTGGACCCCTTCCTCACACCATATTCAAAAATCACCTCAAGATGGATTAAAGGCTTAAATGTAAAACCAAAAACTATAAAAACTCTGGAAGACAACCTAGGCAATACCATTCTGGACATAAAATGGGCAAATATTTCATGATGAAGAAAGCAATTGCAATGTAAGCAAAACTGCTTGTCAGTCAACAGCAATTGCAATGAAAGCAAAAACTGACAAATGAGACCTAATTAACTGCAGTGTTTCTGCATAACAAAAGAAACTCTTAACAGAGTAAGCAGACAACCTACAGAATTGGAGAAAATTTTTGAAAACTATGCATCTGACAAAGGTCTACTACCCAGTATCTATAAGGAACTTAAACAAATTTACAAGAACAAAACAAGCCCATTAAAAAGTAGGCAAAGGACATGAACAGACACTTTTCAAAAGAAGACATACATGTGGCCAACAAGGATATGAAAAAAGGCTCATATCACTAATCCTTAGAGAAATGCAAATCAAAACCACAAATGAGAATATCTCACACAAGTCAGAATGGCTATTACTAAAAAGTCAAAAAATAACAGGGTGTGGAGAAAAGGGAACACTTATACACCGTTGGGGGGACTGCAAATTAGTTCAACCATTGTGGAAAGCCTCGTGGCAATTCCTCAACAAGCTAAAAACAGAACTACCATCTGACCCAGCAATCCCATTACGGGTTTATATTTATATTCCCAAAGGAATATAAATCATTTTATCATAAAAACACTTGCACATGTATGTTCACTGCAGCACTGTTCACAATTGCAGAAATATAGAATCAACTTAAATGCCCATCAATGACAGACTGGATAAAGAAAATGTGGTACATATACATCACAGAATACTATGCAGACATAAAAAATAATTGGATTATGTCCTTTGCAGGGACATAAATGGATATGGAGGGCATTATCCCTAGCAAGCTAATGCAGCAATAGAAAACCAAGTATTGTATGTTCTCACTTATAAGTGGGGGCTAAATGATCAGAACACACTGACACAAAGAGGGGAATGACAGACACTAGGGCCTACTTGAGGGTGGAGGGTGGGAGGGGGAAGAGGAACAACAACAACAAAATAACTATTGGGTACTAGGCTTAGTACCTGGGTGACAGAATAATCTGTATATCAGACCCCTGTGACATAAGTTTACTTATGGGACAAACCTGCACATGTACCCCAGAATATAAAATGAAAGTTTAAAAATAAAAAAAGAAAGAAAAATATTGACGTCACATAATTCAGTGTCCACCCAGAACAACAAAACCATTGAGCAGGTGAAGCATAGATATTTCTGATTGTAACATCTAAGATTAATTTTTCTTTCAAGGAATCATATAGTGAGAACCTAGCATGACAGAGTGAACCATAATTTCCATCAGCATTTTAATAGATAATAAGATATCAAGTTTTACAGAAAAAGAGCAACTCTGTTTTGACCTGTAGGATCAATAATAAATTTTGTAATGTTTTATTGTGATAGTCTTGACATTATCACAATAGTCTTGGATTGCCCTCCTTGCTGTTTAAGAAAAAAGCAACTTTCCACTTAAAGACCCTATCAAATTTTCTAATTTATCAAAGTTTATCTTTCATTATTATTTGTTAAGCAACTATATTGAGCAATTGTCTTAAATTGATGTTAGCCATCAGAGACACTGCTGTTTGTGCTTTTGTTCATTCAGATGGTTTTATCTATCTGTTTTTTTTTGTTGTTGTTATCTTTCCCTCATTAGAATTTAAGAAGATCTGATTTTCAGAATTAATATTGTTCTTGTGCTGTTTTCAATGTCCACTTGCTTGGCCTCTGATGAGACATTCAATATAACATGGTAGAAGATCTTAGCAAGGTTTCTATAATATAGTTAGTTACAAGGCTCAAGACACCATTGAATCTGCTTGGCTTTTACTTTCATTCAAAATGTTTTACTTAGATAAGACTCATTCTTCCTCCCAGCATTGTTTTCATTTTTTATATCTTCCTTTATCCATTCCTTACAATCTCCTCCTGCCCCTACAAACGCACACAAATACATCAAAGATGTGAATCTGTTCTACTACCTGATTACTCATATTTTCTACTAACCAGAGGATCAGAACTTTTAATCATATAACGTAAAGGATGATTGGTAGGCATAGGGACATATATTTTTATTTTTTCTGGTGAGGACTATGCTGAGAATTAAAAACAAAATTATTTAGTAGTTTCTATATTATTCATAAATATTTTGAATAATGTTGCTATTAGCAAGCCAATCTTGAGTTTATGAAGAGTCTGGCATTCAGTTAGTAATGTTTCACTTGTAATTTTTAAATGAAACTGTCAAGTTATACCATTGACACAAAGAACTTATTTTGTCTACATTGTTAACTACTTGTGATCTCCTGGGAGCTGGGGTAAGCTAGAAAGACATAGGCTTGCTGTAGTATCTATTTCAGGAGATAAGAGGAAAAACACCTATTTTAATGATCGAGTAGGACAAAGAGTTTCATGCATGACTTAGAGGTAAATTGAAGGAAGGAAGGAAATTGTTCCGAAAAATTAGTACATGAACCAAGAATTTTGAAGGATTCATTGTGTTTGTTTCAGGAAACAAAGTTGATATCAGCTCCCCATTCCCACCACCTTTCTAATTTAAGCACCTCAGGGACATAGAGTTAAGTCAATGTCCTCCTCATTCTATAGCATTATTACCATGAGTCCCTGCTAGGTTCTTTTTTAATTAAATTTTATTTTAAAATGTTTTCCCTCTTTATACCCCATTTATTTATTTAAATCAACACATTAAAAATTATATATATTTGTATGTATTTAATTTGCTTCATTTAATTGAAAGAATATATATGTTTAGGGTATAAAAAGTGATGTTTTGTTATATGTATACATTGTGGAATGATTAAATGAAGCTATTACATATCCATCATCTCACATCCCTATTATTGTTTATGATGAGAACAATTAATATCCACTCTTTCAGCAATTTTTGAGTATACTACACTTTATTATTAATGAAGCCACCATGCTGTGCCATACATCTTGAGAGCTTATTCCTCCTGTGTGACTGAAACTTTACACCTTCACCAATGTCTCATTTCCCATCCCTCTCCAGTCTCTGGCAACCATTTTCATCTCCATTTCCAATTAAATTTCTCTTCGTCCACATACAACTACTCCAGAATATTTATTTTCTTTTGTTTTATTGTTTTCATACATTTATTTAAACATATGGTTTTCTAGAAAAAAATCGTGATTACATTTATACAGAAATATGAATTACACTACATATACTATATTTCTTTTCTTTTTTTTTTAATGACAACAACATTTATTGAGCAAGCCCCTGGCATATTTCATCATACTGGATCCCCAGGACAACCCTGTGAGGTAGTTGTATTGTAAGCCCCATTGTACAGATGAGGAACACGGGGCTCAGAGGGGTGAAGTGACTTGCCCGAGGTCACAAGGCAAGTGCATGTCAACTCTTGGAATTGAAGCCAGATCTGTCTCACAGCTGCAGTCCAGCCGTGACAGTTGAGTGCCTCCTAAAAGCCAACATCACAGAGCTGTCTGAGGACGCTGTGGGGAACTGTCTGTGAAAAGGTCCAACAGATAAACTCCAAAGAGTTTATGGCAGGCTTCCTGAAGAGCAACGGACTAGAGCCCACCTGGAGGCAGCCTGGAGGCAGAGTGGGCGGAACTGCCCTGTCTTCTCTCCCAGGGGACGCAACTACCAGCCTAGACCAGCGGGACGCTGGGCTGCTCAGGCTCCAGCCATCTCTCTCTTGCCGTGGCTCTGCCCGGAAACCGTGGGCGGCCCTGCCCCTGTCCCCAGAATGTTGCAGGGCTTTCCAGCAGGAGAGGGGACACCGGAAGGCGGCCATGAGCCAAGGTTTATGAATGACATTCAGAAGGATTTCTGCCAATGGCTCGATGGCTCGCTTCCACTGGGAAGGATCTCCAGTCTGCCCCCAGGGAGCCTGGACCCAAACATGAGCATCAGGCCTTCCCAGGAAACGAACACCCCGGGTCCGTCACTCTGAGGCCTCGATGTAGATGAGCACAGCGAGCATGGCACATGGGCCCTCGGCCCCGGCCTGCAGCCCCGCCAGAGCCAGGTTGGAGCCCAGCCCCTCAGCTGTCCAGGTACCACCAGCTCAGATTCTGTGCCCACCGCACCACCCACGACGATGGAAAGCTCCGCGTTCAGCTCTGCGAAGGGCGGCTTGCCCGGGACGGCCTCGGGCACCAGACCAGCCCCTGTGTCCTTCATCTCCTCCAGCCCCAGCGGGTCAGGCAAGGGGGTCACCACCTTGCGCCCACCACTGCCGCCACGGCGCGGGGCTGCCCTCTTCTCGCGGGCGGTGGTGGGGGGGGGGGGTGCCGCCGGGTTTGCAGGTCCTTTTCCTTCTGGGGGCCGAGACGACAGCGGTGATCTTTGAGGTATTTGTGGCGGAAAAAGCCCTTGGCACAGCCAGCATAGCGGAACTTGTAGTAGCCCGTGTGGGCGCGCAGGTGCTCGGCGAGGTGGGCACGGCGGCTGAAGGACCTGCTGCACAGGGCGCATTTGTGGAGCTTCATGCCGGAGTGGGAGAGGACATGGGCCTTCAGCTTGTCCGGCCGGTTGAACAACTTACCGCAGCTTGTGTGCGTCGATAAAGGGCATTTATATTTCTTGAAGGGCTGGTGGATCAACATGTCTCTCTTACAGTTTGTCCTTGAGGTTGAATGCGGACTCGCACACCGAGCATTTGTAGGGCTTCTCGCCTGAGTGGTTGTGAGCGCGCAGTTTGAGGTAATGCACCCGCCGGGAGGACTTCTTGCACACCTGGCCCTTGAACCTGCCCCCACTGCGGTGGGTTGGCAGATGACGCTGCAGGTAGCGTTCACAAGGAAACACCTTCTAGCAGTGTGGGCAGGGGAAGTTGTGAGTGGCGGTCTGCAGGTGATGCTCCAGGGCCTCTGGGGTGGATATTTGTTGACACGTTTGACACACTTGTAGACGGCACTGCCCTTCTTGGGGCTGTGCTGTGGAAGGAGGCTGTGGGAGTACTGGTGCACGCTCAGGTCGTACATCGGGGGTAAGTCCTTGTTGCAGAAGTGGCCGGGGTAGCTCAGCTCCTCCTGGTGGCTCTTGATGTGCTCCAGAAATGTGTCGAGCTTTGGGAACGTTTGGGCACAGCTTTTGACCACACATTTGTACACCTGCTCGTTCTTATGCTGGGTCATGTGAGACTTGAGCTGGAAATAGGTGCTGAACTTGCTGGGGCAGAACTGGAACAAGTAGGAGCTGTAGATGAGGACTACCTGCTTGGGTTTCCGGCTTGCCCCTTGCTATCGCTGGCTGTGGGCCAGGCCTGGAGCTGTGGCGAGCTTGGTAGGGGCTGGCCCAACCCTGTGTTTTCCTCATCCTCCTGCCTACTGGGGTTCAGGGCCAAGACCTGTACAGTCACAGAGTTTCGAGACACAGTGCCACCACCGTGTCCTGAAGGCCATACCTTGTGGGTCTGCATGTGTTTCTTAACATTAGACTTCTGGGCAAAGGCATGGCCACATGCAATGCATTGGAAGGGCTTCTCACCTGTGTGGCTTCAGATGTGCTGCTGCAGGTCGAAGTTTTTGGTGAATGACTTGTCACAGTATGGGCACTTGAGTTTCTGAGCCTTTGGCTTCCCTGTAGCTTCCAGGAGTCCCCTGGTACCTTTAGCCCGTGGGGTCTTCAGCATTGGTGGAGAGTCAAAGATGGCCACGGTGCCCCCGGTGGCACTGGTCATGGGGCAGCAGGGTTTGGTCCTTTGGGTGTTTGCCAGGGCTGTACACTGTGGGGGTGGGGTATACTGGAGCCTCCACACACTGGTTTGGCACCTCCAGGGGTGGGTAGGGCTGCATCACCAGTGCCTGGATCTCCACCATTCCACTCCCAGCCAGGAGTGCAGCAGCACTGTACACCTTCACCACACCATTCCCACCAGGATTGGGATGCCCAGGGGGGCCCAGGCTGTGGGGTGGAGGTGGTGAGGGCAGTGGTGGAGGAGGGGGTGAAGGCTAGGTGAGGTGGCTGGGCACAGAATGCATGTTCAGGCTGCTCTGCACAGGTCGCGGGCCCTAGGGCATGGGCTGGTCCAGGGATGTGAAGCCTGAAATGGCAGACATGAGCAAGTCATTGCTTACCAAGATGTTCCCCTGGATCAGTGGGGACAGGGGCACTGTGATGTATGTAGAGATCTGGCAATTGGCAGGAGGCGAGGCCTGCTGGACCGCTGTGGGTGCTGCCGAAGGTGTGTAGATTGTGTAGATGCTGTTGGTGACCAGCGAGACTGTGTCCAGGTCGGGGGCATTTCTTTGGCACTGTTCCCGCTTGTGGGTCATAAACACTGGCAGCGAGTTGAATTGCTTCTTACACTTCCCACAGAGAAAGACATCCTCATCATCCAATGGCTGGATAGCAGGGGACGCATTGACACTCTGGCCTCTGGGATCAGGGACTGCTCCTTGGCCATCCAGTAATGATGGGACAGCTAGAATGGTCTGGTTGTCCATTCCCTCCAGGGCCTTAAAGATCACCTGCACCATCTTGGAGCCCCTATATTTCTTATAATTAATCAATAGATTTTTTGGGGAGGTAGGGTTTCTATGCTGTTAGTCATACCTGCAAACAATGATGTTTCTATTTCTTCTCTTCCAATCATATTTCCTTAATTTATTTTTCTTTCTTTTTAAATTATTCTTGTAAGGCATTGTAGTACATGAATAAATGTAAGTATTAATAGTGTACCTTCCTTGTGTCGTTTTTTATTTTAAAGGGATAATGTCTACTATTTCCCTGTTTACAGTAATATGTGGGTGTGTACATGTGTTTTTGTGTGTTTAACATGGAAAGTTCCCTTTTATATGCTCTTTAATAAGTCAGATGATCATACTATTTTTTCTTCTTTATTAAGTGTTGAAAGACATTTAAGGAATTTCTAATACGAAATCCTCCTTTTATGCCTGGGATAAGCTCAACTGGGTCATTTATTATCTTTATTATTCACTGCTGGATTGGGTTAGATAATAATTTATCTGGATTGTCTTTTGGATTTTCTACCCAGTATTATCTGCTAATCATTCCTACCTAGTATTACAATAATGAACAATTCTTCTCTTTAGAGCTTCACTTTCTAATCACCCTACACTCCAACTTACTCCATCTCTGGGTTTGAGTTAGTCTTTCCGAAGTCCCATTTTAAGAGTCTAAGGATTTATTAAAACACACTCCATTATCATAGTTCTGATCCCACACCTGGGAAATTAAAAATTAAGGCAATTTGCAGCTGTGGAACATTGTAGTCCAAGCAAGAGACCTGTGCTTACAGTGGCCAAAGACCAGATCAGAAATTGAATGGTATTTGAGGAGTAAATTAAAAAATTGAATATATTTTGTTTTAGTTGCATCAGGTCAAGATACTTTAGCCGAAATGTTTATTTGAGGAGAAAGGCTTGACTCTATCATTGAGAAAACAAAATAGACTGAATGATTCATATTCTGATACCACATTGGCTAACCGAGTTCATTACTTTGTGCCTTTATTGCTTAACTGATAATAAAAATAGCTAACCTTATTGAGCACATTCAAATATTCAGACAGTACTAAAATCCTTATATAAGCATTTACTATTTACTTCTTTAAACACATTTTATGGATGTTGAAATTGAGGCACAGAATTTTAAGAAAGTGCCTAAAGTCTTTCAATTAGCACATAGTAGAGCTGGAATTGAAATTGAAGCATAGTGTCTCCAGAGTCCCTGGTGGTTTCCAGTTTAATAATTGACAACCAGAGTGATTTTTCCAGAATTATTAACATAGATTTATTGAGGTATAACTGACAAAAATTATACATATTTATAGTATGCAATGTGATGTTTTGAAATACATATACATTATGAAATGATTATTATAATCAAGCTTATTAACATTTCCATCACAATACCTTTATTTTATGGTGAGAATATTTAAGGTCTACTTTCTTAGCACATTTCAAGTATACAATATGGTGTTATTAACTATAGTTGCTATTCCGTACATTGTATCTCCAGAGCTTACTCATTCTAGATTACTGAAACTGTATACCCTTTGACTGACATCTCCCGATTTACCCTACCCCCCAACCCCCTGGCAACCATCTGTTCTCTGCTTTTATGAGTTTTACTTTTTATATTCCACATATAAGTGAGATCAAACAGTATTTGTCTTTCTGTGCCTGGCTTATTTCACTTGACATAATGTCCTCCAGGTTCATAGTGATGTTGCAGATGATAGGATTTTCTTCATTTTAAAGACTGAGCAATTCTCTCCTCTCTCTCTCTCTATATATATGTATATATACACACATATATGTATATATGTATATATGTATACACACATATATGTATATATGTATATATGTATACACACATATATGTATATATGTATATATGTATACACACATATGTATATATGTATATATGTATACACATATATGTATGTACACACATATGTATATATGTATACATGTATACACACATATATGTGTATATATGTATATATGTATACACACATACATGTATATATGTATATATGTATATATACACACATATGTATATATGTATATATACATATACACATATATGTATATGTATATATGTATACACACATATATGTATATGTATATATGTATATACACATATATGTATATGTATATGCGCACATATATGTATATATGTATATACACACATATGCATATATGTATATACACACATATGTATATATGTATATATGTATGTACACACATGTATATATGTATATATGTATGTACACACATGTATATATGTATATATGTATGTACACACATGTATATATGTATATATGTATACACACACACATATATACACACATATATATACATATACACATATATACACTCACACATATATCCTGCATTTTCTTTATGCATTCATCTATTGATGGACACTTAGGTTGATTCTATATCTTGGTTCTTGTGAATAATGCTGCAGTGAATATGGGAGTGCAGATATCTTTTCAACATGATAATTTCATTTCCTTGTATACTCAGAACTTGGATTGCTGGATTATGTGGTAGTTCTATTTTTAATTTTTTGAGAATCTTCATAGTATTTTGCATAATGGCTATACCAATTTGTATTCCTACCAATAGTATGCAAGGATTCCCTTTTCTCCACATACTTGCCAAAGCTTGTTATCTTTTGTCTTTTTGATAATCGCCATTCTAACAGGTGTGAAGTGTTATCTCATTGTGGTTCCGATTTGCTTTCCCTGATGACTAGTGATGTTGAGCACTTTTTCATAACAGTCACACACTGTATAACAACATTTTGATCAATGACAGACTGCGTATGCAAGGTGGTCCCATATGATTATAATGAACCTGAAAAATTCTTATTTCTTGGTGATGTCATAGTGCAATGCATTATTCATATGTTTGTGGTGATGCTGGTGTAAAGAAACTGCTGTGCTGCCAGTCATATAAAATTATGGCACAGATTCTGGGTGTGGTGGCTCATGCCTTTAATCCTAGCACTTTGGTAGGCTAAGATGGGACTACTGCTTGATCCCAGGAGTTTGAGACCAGCCTGGGCAAATAGTGAGTCCCCCATCACTACAAAAATTACAAAATTAGCCAGGCATGGTGGGACATGCCACAGACACTCAATGTCAGCCAGTGAAGAAAGCTAGGAAGTGGTGTGTACCCCAAAAAGCCACAGCGGTGGAGCTGCCCAAGTCCATGGGAGCCCATCTCTTGCATCAGTGTGACATGGAGTCAAAGGAGATCATTTTGGACCTCGTGACCTGCATTTGAGACATGGAGTCAAAGGAGGTCATTTTGGAAATTTAAGATATGACTTCCCTATTGGATTTCTGACTTAGACCTTTTCGGCCTTACAGGCCTTTCTTTGGCCTGTAGCCCTTTCATTTTGGCCGATTTCTTCCATTTGGAATGGGTGTATTTACCAGATGCCTTTACCTCCATTGTATCTAAGAAGTAACTAACTTGCTATTGATTTTACAGGCTCATAGGTGGAAGGGACTTGCCTTGTCTCAGATAAGACTTTGGGCTTGGACTTTTGGGTTAATACTAGAATGAGTTAAGACTTTGGGGGACTGTTGGAAGGGCATGATTGTGTTTTGAAATGTGAGGACATGAGATTTGCGAGGTGCCAGGGACAGAATAGTATAGTTCGGCTGTGTCCCCACCCAAACCTCATCTTGAATTGTAATTTGAATTGTAATCCCCATGTGTTGGAGGTGGGATCTTGTGCAAGGTGATTACATCAAGGGAGTGGTTCCTCCATGCTGTTCTCATGATAGTGAGTGAGGTCTCACAAGATTTGATGGCTTTATTAATGGGCTTTTCCCTGCCTTCACTTGACACTTCTCCTTGCTGCCGTCATGTGAAGATGGATGTGTTTGCTTCCCCTTCTGCCATGATTGTAAGATTCCTAAGGCCTTCCCGGCCACGCTGAGCTGTGAGTCAATTAAACTTCTTCCCTTTATAAATTACCCAGTCTTGGGTATGTCTTTATTAGCAGCATGAGAATGGACTAATACAGACCCTATCTCAAAAATGAAAAAAAAAGTGTAGCATATATAATTGTGTATAGTACATACTACTTGATAATATTAACAAATGATTATTTTACTGGTTTATGTATTTAATATACTATTTATCATTATTTTAAAGTGCACTCCTTCTACTTATTAAAAAAAGTTAACTGTAAAACAGCCTCAGGCAGGTCCTTCAGGAAATATTCCAGAAGAAGGTATTGTTATCATAGGAGATGACAGCTCTATGGCTGTTATTACCCCTGAAGACTTTCCAGTGGGATGAGACTTGGAGAGGGAAGACAGTGATATTGATGATCCTGACCCTGTGTAGGCTTAGGCTAATGTGTGAGCATAATGTTTATGTCTTAGTTTTTTAACAAAAAAGTTTTAAAAGCAAAAAATAAAATACAAATTTTAAAAATAGAAAAATGCCTATAGAATCAGGATATTAAAAAAAGAAAATATTTTATGCAATTGTACAGTGATTCTCTGTTTTAAGCTAAATGTATTACAAAAGAGACAGAAAAGTAAAAAATTGTAAAAGTTTATAAAATAAAAAGTTACAGTAAGCTAAGATTAATTTATTATTTAAGAAAGAATAACAATTTTGTGTAAATTTAGTGTAGCCTAGTGCAGTGTTTATAAAGCCTACAGTACAGTAACGTGTTAGGCTTTCACATTCACTCACCACTGACTCACTGACTCACTGACTCACTGAAAGCAACTTCCAGTCCTGTAAGCCCCATTCATAAGTGCCCTATACATGTATATAATTTTTCATTTTTTATGCTATATTTTTACAGTACCTTTTCTATGTTTAGATACACAAATACTTATTATTGTGTTCCAATTGCCTGCAGTATTCAGTACAGTAACATGCTGTACATGTTTTTAGCCTAGGGGTAATAGGCTATACCATATAGTTTAGGTGTGTGGTAGGCTATACCATCTAGGTTTGTGTCAGTACACTCTATGATGTTCAAACAGCTACAAAATCACCTAGTGACACATTTCTCAGAATGTATTCCTGTTATTAAGTAATGCATGACTGTACCTGTTGACCATTTGTATGTTGATATGGTTTGGCTCTGTGTCCCCACTCAAATCTCATCTAAATTTTAATCCCCATAATCCCCACGTGTCAAGAGTGGGATTGATCTTGACACGTGATCCCCACATGTCAAGAGTGGTGGGAGGTGATTGGATCATGGGGGCGGCTTCCCCCATTCTGTTCTCAAGATAGTGAGTGAGTTCTCATGAGATCTGATGGTTTCATAAGTGTTTGACAGTTCCTCCTCCACACGCTCTCTTTCCTGTTGCCTTGTGAAGAAGGTACTTGCTTCTTATTCACCTTCCTCCATGATTGTAAGTTTCCTGAGGCATCTCCAGGCAAGTGGAACTGTGAGTCAATAAAACCTCTGCCCTTTATATATTACCCAGTCTCTGGTACTTCTTTATAGCAGTGTGAGAAGGGACTAATACATATGTCTTCTTTTGAAAAATATCCATTCAGATCCTTTGACTATTTTCTAATGGGGTTGTTTGTTCTCTTGTGATTGAGTGAATTCCTTATACATTTTGAATATTAACTCTTTTTCAGATGTATGGTTTGTATAATTTTTCTCTCATTCTGTAGGTTGTTCCTTGGCTGTACACAGTTTTTTTTTTTTTTAAATTAGATGCAGTCCCATTTGTCTATTTTTGTTTTTGTTTTCTGTGCTTTTGGGGACTTATCTAAGAATTTATTGCTTCCTCCAATATCAAGAAGCTTTTTACCTATGTTTTTCTCTAGTATTTTTGCAGTTTCAGTTTCTTACGTATAAGTCATTAATCCATTTTGAGTTGGTTTTTATATATAGGGTGATATAAAGGTCTAATTTCATTCTTCCACATGCAGAGAATCAGTTTTCCAAACAACATTTTTTGAAGAGAATGTCCTTTCCCCAATGTGTGTTCTTGGCACTTTCTGCAAGGATCAATTGACCATAAATATGTGCATTTTTTTCTGGGCTTTCTGTTCTGGTTCATTGGCTTGTATGTCTGTTTTTATGCTGGTACCATGCTGTTTTGATAGCCATTGTTTTGTAGCATATTTTGAAATCAGGTGATGTGATACCTCCAGCTTTGCTCTTTTTGCTCAAGATTTCTTTGGCTATTTGGGGTCTTTTGTGATACCACAAAACTTTACAACATTTTTTTTCTATTTCTGTGAAAATTCCATTGGAATTTTGAGAAAGTTTGTATAGAATTTGTGGATTAAGTTGGAAAATATGCACATTTTTGACAATATTAATTATTCTAATTCATGAACATGTGATATCTTTTTATTTGTGTCCTCAAATGTTTTCATCAGTTTTATAGTTTTTAATATATAGATACTAATATTTTATCTCATTGGTTATTTCTATGTATTTTATTTTCATGCTATTGTAATTGGGATCTTTCCTTAATTTCATTTTTTGGATAGTTTGTTGTTAGTGTATACAAACATAATTGATTTTTCTATGTTGATTTTGTATATGGAAAATGTACTAAATTTATTAGTTCTAGTAATTTTTGGTAGAGTTTTTAAGCAAATGTCACCTGCAAGGAGAGACAGCTCTACTTTTTATTTTCTGATTGAATGTCTTTTAAAATTTTTGTTATTATTTGTTCTTGCCTAATTGCTGTGGCTAAAGCTTCCAGAAGTATATTGGATAGAAGTGGCAAGAGTGGTCATCCTTTTCTTATTCCTGATATTAGAGGAAAGCTTTTCACCAATGGATGTGATGTAGCTGTATTTGAGGTACATTTCTTCTATACCAAACTTGTTGAGAGTTTTTATCATAAAAGTATTTAAAACATTGTTTAAAGATCAAAGTTTAAGGAAGAAGCATAAAGATTATGTTTAATGAGTCCTAACTTGATTATTACAAGTTATTAGATAAAAGATCTGATTTAAAAATGGGATGATGTAAGTAAACTTCTGGCAGTTAGCTTCTTGCCATTTTTAACAATTTGGACTGAAGTATTAAAATTAAATTCAAGCCCATGAAACTGCTCATTTTTAATAAATTCATTGAATCAATCATTTACAACTATAGTAGTAAACATTCTTCAAAATGTAATTATTCCTTCAGTTACTGGTGACTGCATTAATTATAATTTAACAGAAAATAATTGACTAAGCTTAGAAAACCTAAAAAAAGGTTTATTTTCTGCACATACACACAAATACACACACAATGTCTTTCTCTCCTTTCTTTTACTCTTCTCTGCCTTTTATAGGCTTAGAGCCACTACTGACAGAAAATAAGTAAATAGAGCAATAGATGTCTTCCATTGCACTATGTGTCACTGCCAAGTTTGTCAGCATTCTCAATTTGCTTAGTTGATAAATTATTTTTCGTGTTTGTTTTTATTTCTATTTAATGGGAAAATTCTTTAAAATATAACCGTGTATTTGGTCTAAGGGAAGGGTGATAAAAACCCACTACAATGGTCCTTTGCCTCTTTTAGAGTTAGAGATGTTCATTTCCAGCACTCAATAAATAATAGGGAGAGGTGTCAGGAGATGCGTAAACAGAATTTCTTCCAGTTTTTTTATGAGCCGGCTCAGTATACCATAACAGCAAACACCCATGTTTGCCTCAATCATGTTTTTGTAAACAATCACTGAGATAATATGTGTAATGAGATAATACATTTTATATTTACAATTTTCAGTTACTGAGTTCTAAACATTTGTACAGTGTATTTTATTAGCATTGGTATTACTATGAAGGATGGGGAATATACAATGAATTCTTTTTAGTGTACATTAACCTGCTAGTAGATTTATTCTAATCAAGGTGATTATAAGTGAGCTGCCTAGTTTGATTTCTTTTTAAAATTTAAATTTTGAGATAATCATGTGGTTTTTGTCTTTGGTTCTGTTTATATGCTGGATTACGTTTATTGATTTGTGTATGTTGAACCAGCCTTGCATCCCAGGGATGAAGCCCACTTGATCATGGTGGATAAGCTTTTTGATGTGCTGCTGGATTTGGGTTGCCAGTATTTTACTGAGGATTTTAGCATCGATGTTCATCAGAGATATTGGTCTAAAATTCTCTTTTTTTGTTGTGTCTCTGCCAGGCTTTGGTGTCAGGATGATGCTGGCCTCATAAAATGAGTTAGGGGAGGATTCCTCCTTTTTCTATTGATTGGAATAGTTTCAGAAGGAATGATACCAGCTCCTCCTTGTACCTCTGGTAGAATTTGGCTGTGAATCCATCTGGTCCTGGACTTTTTTTGGTTGGTAGGCTATTAATTATTGCCTCAATTTCAGAGCCTGTTATTGGTCTATTCGGGGATTCAACTTCTTCCTGGTTTAGTCTTGGGAGGGTGTATGTGTCCAGGAATTTATCCATTTCTTCTAGATTTTCTAGTTTATTTGCGTAGAGGTGTTTATAGTATTATCTGATGGTAGTTTGTATTTCTGTGGGATCGGTGGTAATATCCCCTTTATCATTTTTTATTGCATGTATTTGATTCTTCTCTCTTTTCTTCTTTATTGGTCTTGCTAGCGGTCTATCAATTTTGTTGATCTTTTCAGAAAACCAGCTCCTGGATTCATTGATTTTTTGAAGGGTTTTTTTGCGTCTCTATCTCCTTCAGTTCTGCTCTGATCTTAGTTATTTCTTGCCTTGTGCTAGCTTTTGAATGTGTTTGCTCTTGCTTCTCTAGTTCTTTTAATTGTGATGTTAGGGTGTCAAATTTAGATCTTTCCTGCTTTCTCTTGTGGGTATCTAAGCTATAAATTTCCCTCTACACACTGCTTTAAATGTGTCCCAGAGATTCTGGTATGTTGTGTCTTTGTTCTCATTATCTCAATAGATGCAGAAAACGCCTTTGACAAAATTCAACAACGCTTCATGCTAGAAACTCTCAATAAATTAGGTATTGATGGGACATATCTCAAAATAATAAGAGCTATTTATGACAAACCCACAGCCAGTATCATACTGAGTGGGCACAAACTGGAAGCATTCCCTTTGAAAACTGGCACAAGACAGGGATGCCCTTTCTCACCACTCGTATTCAACATAGTGTTGGAAGTTCTGGCCAGGGCAATCAGGCAGGAGAAAGAAATAAAGGGTATTCGATAAGGAAAAGAAAAAGTCAAATTGTCCCTGTTTGCAGATGACATGATTGTATATTTAGAAAACCCCATCATCTCAGCCCAAAATCTCCTTAAGCTCATAAGCAACTTCAGCAAAGTCTCAGGATACAAAATCAATGTGCAAAAATCACAAGCATTCTTATACACCAATAACAGACAAACAGAGAGCCAAATCATTTGTGAACTCCCATTCACAATTGCTTCAAAGAGAATAAAATACCTAGGAATCCAACTTACAAGGCATGTGAAGGACCTCTTCAAGGAGAACTACAAACCACTGCTCAACGAAATAAAAGAGGATACAAACAAATGGAAGATCATTCCATGCTCATGGATAGGAAGAATCAATATCGTGAAAATGGCCATACTGCCCAAGGTAATTTATAGATTCAATGCTGTCCCCATCAAGCTACCAATGACTTTCTTCACAGAATTGGGAAAAACTACTTTAAAGTTCATATGGAACCAAAAAAGAGCCCGCATTGCCAATTCAATCCTAAGCCAAAAGAACAAAGGTGGAGGCATTACGCTACCTGACTTCAAACTATACTACAAGGCTATACAGTAACCAAAACAGCATGGTACTGGTACCAAAACAGATATATAGACCAATGGAACAGAACAGAGACCTCAGAAATAATACCACACATCTACAACCATCTGATCTTTGACAAACTTGACAAAAACAAGCAATGGGGAAAGGATTCCCTATTTAATAAATGGTTCTGGGAAAACTGTCTGGCCACATGTAGAAAGCTGAAACTGGATCCCTTCCTTACACCTTATACTAAAATTAATTCAAGATGGATTGAAGACTTAAATGTTAGACATAAAACCATAAAAACCCTAGAATAAAACCTAGGCAATACCATTCAGAACATAGGCATGGGCAAGGACTTCATGTCTAAAACACCGAAAGCAATGACAACAAAAGCCAAAATTGACAAATGGGATCTAATGAAACGAAAGAGCTTCTGCACAGCAAAAGAAACTACCATCAGAGTGAACAGGCAACCTACCGAATGGGAGAAAAGTTTTGCAATCTACTCATCTGACAAAGGGCTCATATCCAGAATCTACAAAGAACTCAAACAAATTTACAAGAAAAAAACAAACAACTCCATCAAAAAGTGGGTGAAAGATATGAACAGACACTTCTCAAAAGAAGACATTTATGTAGCCAGCAGACACATGAAAAAATGCTCATCATCACTGGCCATCAGAGAAATGCAAATCAAAACCACAATGAGATACCATCTTACACCAGTTAGAATGGCGATCATTAAAAATTCGGGAAACAACATATGCTGGAGAGGATGCAGAGAAATAGGAACACTTTTGCACTGTTGGTGGGACTGCAAACTAGTTCAACCATTGCGGAAGACAGTGTTGCGATTCCTCAAGGATCTAGAACTAGAAATACCATTTGACCCAGCCATCCCATTACTGGGTATATACCCAAAGGATTATAAATCAGGCTGCTATACAGACACATGCACACATATGTTTATTGCAGCACTATTCACAATAGCAAAGACTTGGAACCAACCCAAATGTCCATCAATGATAGACTGGATTAAGAAAATGTGGCACATATATACCATGGAATACTATACGGCCATAAAAAATGATGAGTTCATGTCCTTTGTAGGGACATGGATGAAGCTGGAAACCATCATTCTCAGCAAACTATTGCAAGGACAAAAAACCAAACACCTCATGTTCTCACTCATAGGTGGGAATTGAACAACGAGAACACTCGGACACAGTAAGGGGAACATCACACACCAGGGCCTGTTTTGAGGTGGGGGAGGGGGGAGGGATAGCATTAGGAGATATACCTAATGTAAATGATGAGTTAATAGGTGCAGCACACCAACATGACATATGTATACATATGTAACAAACCTGCACGTTGTGCACGTGTACCCTAGAACTTAAAGTATAATAATAAAAAAAATTTAAATGTTGTGACCATTTTCAAATGTAGACTTATTTCTTGATTTGGCATGACTTATACATTCTAAACCAGAGGCGTTTTTTGCTTTAAGAGGTTAAAAGAATATATATTACATCCTTGAAAGTAATTAACATTATAGAAATAGTAGACTTTTAAAATTAAAATTTAATTCCTCTATTTGTTGGATTTTTGCCAACTTGTGATGTTATAAGTTTTGAAATGTGTGCTTTACTTACTTTATATATTGTCTGTCTCTTTATGTCTGTATGTTGATATAGATGCAATTAGATATATAAAGTTTCATTGAAGTGAATAATTTGACAGTCAACTGATCCGAGTGTATTTTGTATATGATATAATAGTAGTAGCATTTTAACTATCCTTTGCTGATGTGTGTCAGGCACTGGGGAGGAGTTTAGATGTTTTAACTTGTTTAACGCTCACAACTATCTTGATAGACATGAAATTTTCTCCATTTCACAAATGGGGAAACTGAGTTGATATGGCTTGGTTGTGCCCCCACCCAAATCTCAGCTTGAATTGTATCTCCCAGAATTCCCACGTGTTGTGGGAGGGACCCAAGGGGAGTTAATTGAATCATGGGGGTTTGTTTTTCCTTGCTATTCTTGTGATAGTGAATAAGTCTCACGAGATCTGATGGGTTTATCAGGGATTTCTGTTTTTGCTTCTTCCTCATTTTCTCTTGCTACCGCCATGTAAGAAGTGCCTTTCACCTCCCATCATGATTCTGAGGCCTCCCCAGTGGAATTGTCCGTCCAATTAAACCCCTTTTTTCTTCCCAGTCTCAGGTATGTCTCTATTAACAGCATGGAAATAAAGTAATACAGTAAATTTGTACCAGTAAAGTTGGGCGTTGCTGAATAGATACCTGAAAATATATAAGTGACTTTTGAACTGGGTAACAGGCAGAGGTTGGAACAGTTTGGAGGGCTCAGAAAAAGTCAGGAAAATGTGAGAAAGTTTGGAACTTCCTGGACACTTGTTGAATGGCTTTGCCCAAAATGCTGACAGTGATATAGACAATAAGGTCCAGGCTGAGATGGTCTTAGATGGAGATGAGCAACTTGTTGGGATCTGGAGTAAAATGACTGTTGCTATGTTTCATCAAAGAGACTGGTGGCATTTTGCCCCTGCCCTAGACATTTGTGGAACATTGGACTTGAGAGAGATGATTTAGGGTATCTGGTGGAAGAAATTTCTAAACATCAAAGCATTCAGGAGGTTACTTGGGTACTATTAAAGGCATTCAGTTTTATAAAGGAAGCAGAGCATAAAAGTTTGGAACATTTGCAGCCTGACTATGCAATAGAAAAGAAAAGCCCATTTTCTGGGGAGAAATTCAAGCTGGCTGCAGAAATTTGCATAAGTAGCAAGAAGCCTAATGTTAATCCCCAACACCGTGGGGAAGATGTCTCCAGGCCATGCCAGAGACCCTCACAGCAGCCCCTCCCATCACAGGCCCAGAGGTTCAGGAGGTAAAAATGGTTTAGTGGACTGGGCCCAGGGTTCTCGTGCTGTGTGCACACTAGGGACTTGGTGCCCTATGTCTCAGCTGCTCCAGCCATGGCTGAAAGGGGCCAATGTACAGCTTGGGCTGTGGCTTCAGAGGGGGGAAGCCCCAAGTCTTGGCAGCTTCCACATGGTGTTGAGCCTGTGGGTATACAGAAGTCAAGAATTGAGGTTTGGGAACCTCCACGTGGATTTCAGAAGATGTATGAAAACACCTGAATGCCCAGGCAAAAGTTTGCTGCAGGGGCAGGGCCTTCATGGAGAACCTCTGCTAGGGCAGTGTGGAAGGGAAATGTGGGGTCAGAGCCCTCCCCAAGCAGAGTCCCTACTGGGTCACTGCCTAGTGGAGCTGTGAAAAGAGGGCAACCATCCTCCAGTTCCCAGAATCGTAGATCCACAGACAGCTTGCATTGTGCACTTGAAAAAGCCATAGACACTCAATGCCAGCCCATGAAAGCAGTCGGGAAGGAGGTTGTACCCTGCAAAGCCACAGGGATGGAGCTGCCAAGACCATGGGAACCCACGTCTTGAATCATTGTGACCTGGATGTGAGAGTTGGAATCAAAGGAGATCATTTTGGACCTTTAAAATTTGACTGCCCCACTGGATTTTGGATTTGCACGGGCCCTGTAACCCCTTTGTTTTGGCCAATTTATCCCATTTGGAATGGCAATATTTACCCAATACCTGTACCCCCATTGCATCCAGGAAGTAACTAGCTTGCTTTTGATTTTACAGGCTCATAGGCAGAAGGGACTTGCCTTGTCTCAGATGAGACTTTAGGCTGTGGACTTTTGGATTAATGCTGAACTGAGTTAAGACTTTGCGGGACTGTTAGGAAGGCATGATTTGTTTTGAAATGTGAGGAAACGAGATTTGGAGGGGCCAGGGGTGGAATTATATGATTTGGCTGTGTCCCCACCCAAATCTCAACTTGAATTGCATTTCCCAGAATTCCCACGTGTTGTGGGAAGAACCCAGAGGGGAGGTAATTCAATCATGGGGGCTGGTCTTTCCCATGCTATTCTCATGATAGCGAATAAGTATCATGAGATCTGATGGGTTTATCAGGGATTTCCGCTTTTGCCTCTCTCATTTTCTGTTGCCACCACCATGTAAGCATGCCTTTCGTCTCCCACCATGATTCTGAGGCCTTCCTAGCCATGTGGAACTGTAAGTCCAATTAAAACTCCTTTTCTTCCCAGTCTTGGGTATGTCTTTATCAGCAGCATGAAAACAAACTAACACATGCGTACACAGAGTTTATATCCAAGTTTGTACAACCAATAAAAGGCAGAAGTAGGATGAAGACTCTAGCTTTCTGGTATCAGAGCAAACTGCTCTGGATTTCTAACAATATTCTCCTGCCTCATATAACAAAATTAGACAATATATAATCTATCTTCAGATTGTAGCCTCTTGCTTAGACATTATTCCATGTATTCTCAATCATAGAAATCATATGACTGAACAATATTAAGGTAAAATTATAAGCACTGAGTACCACCTGACAATATTGGGTTTGAAAAGGATGTCATGAAATGCAGGTTTGTCTTTATCAGAGTCTAAGTAGCCTGTTTAATTCACTCTAAATAGGAGATTAGGCAATGGAGCTTTTGGTGACTAAACATTCATGTCCTTAATATGTTTATTTAACAATATTAAATCAGTTTTGAAAAGGTGCAGGTGTATTTGGGTAGCTTTTCTCTCTAAGTAGTGAATTTGCAAAATTAGCAAAAATGTTTTTGCACTTGGATTTGGATAGCGATAACAAACTTTCTCAGCCTAAGAAAAAACCGGAACTCTGACTTAAAATTTTTCTCTGTGATTTCAAAATGTTTTAACTCTAAGTAGTCTTGGAGAAGCTCACAACAATAAATAAATTTGTTTACATAAGTGCTGAAAAAAATTTCCTTTTAATAGAAATAGTTGCTCTTTGCGATAAGCAAATAATCTTCAAGCAAAGAAGATACAGTATAGGAAATAACTTATTTGTGGATTCTAAGGCTGTTATCCCTAAGTTTAAAATGATTCTGCTGTTTTGAATCTTGTTCATCCTTTTTTTTCCAATACAAACTGTTAGCTCTGATTTTAATTCATTTGTGAACATGAAGACTGCTCCTAACACAGGCCCTTTGCATTTGCTATTCTTTCTGCTTGAAAAGCTCTTCTGTCTGATCCATCAGTGTATGACTGGCTCCTTCTTGTCATTCTGATTTTAGTTCATATGTCATCTTTCAATCAGTTCTCCCAACTGTTCATCTAAACCAGCCACCCAGTCACATACTACAACATTGCTCTATTTTATTTTTCTCTGAGGTCTCATTACTTTATATATTTTTGTTTGCGTTGATTGATTAATATATGCAATGTTTTTCTCCTTAACTGCATTTAAGCTCCATACGAGCAAATACCTTTTCTCTTTGCTCACCTCTGTCTTATCAGAATCAGTCATAGCACCTGTTAAATATTAGGTTGTCAACTACTAGTAGATAAATCACTTTTTGATTTAAGACTTGAGAGTGCCAGTTTTTATATGTATTATGAACAAGGTAGCAGTAAGATTATTTGTCATTCATTTTGCTACACTAATGTTTAGTCAGAATTGACAATGGGGTCCTACGTATGATACCCGTGGCCTAGCCTAAGAAGTAAATGATTTAAATTATGCAGTTTGAACATACATGATTTAAAAAATCACATTACAAAAACCTACACCTACATATATCTTTTAAAAACTTATTTCAATGTATAATTACGTGCTTAGGAAAATTGCTCCTAAGTGAAATTGCTGGGTCAATGGTGATATAGCAATTGTAGCAATCTAAATATATAATATTATCATATATATATATACACACACACACACAATATAATTCCTATTTTTTATTTGTGATAAAGTACACATGTAACATTAAATTTACCATCTTAACCATTTTTAGTGCAGAGTTCAGTGGTGTTAATTATACTCACCTCGCTGTGCACCCTATCTCTGGAGCTTTTCACTTTGTAAAGCTAAAACTTCTTACCTTCATAGGAGTTGTTGTTCATACAAGTCTTCATTTGCTTATTCTCCAGCTCCTAGCAACTTTATTCTACTTTCTGTTTCTATGAATCTGACTACTCGAGGTACCTCGTCTAAGTGGAATCACACAGTATTGCCTTGTTTTGTGACTGGCTTATTTTACTTAATGTCCTCAAGGATTGTCCATGTTGTAGCATCTACCAAAATTTCCTTCATTTGTGAGGCTGAATAATATTCCGTTCTTTGTATATACTACATTTTGTTTATCCATTCATTTATTAATAGACACTTGGGTTGCTTCTATCTTTTGGCCTTTGTGAATGATGCTACTGTGGACATAGATGTACAAATATTTCTTTGAGAGCATGCTTTCAGTGTTTTGGATATATGCCTGTTAGTGGGATTGCTGTATTATAGTATTTTTAGTTTTAGTTTTTTTTAGGAACCATCATACTTTTTTCATAGTAGCTGAAGCATTTGACATTTCCACCAACAGTGCACAAGTGTTCCAATTTCTCTGCATCCAAGTCAACGCTTCTTATTTTCTGATATTTTAATAGTAACCATTCTGATGGGTGTGAGGAGTAGCAGTTACATACTGACATATATCGTCAAACAAATGTCTCTTAGTAGAACCTGGAAATTATACTAGAGTTGTTATAGGAGGTATGGACAATTGTGGGATGTGAAGCTTTGAACATGGCCAGTTTCCATACCTGCCCAATATGGATCTCATTTCTTTGCACCTGAGCTGCAAGAACTTCTGCAGGAAAAACATACCAGACGCTGGCCTGTTAGCAGTGTGGCTTCTGTTCTTCTAAGCAGACTGATGCTGTGTCTTGCCTGTGGTAGTCTCAAGAATCTGTGTTTAGATGAGCCTAAGAAGACTCCTGATGGGGATTACAAAACTCTAATACTGTATGGCGTTAGATCAAGACTAAATGCTTTGTTTTCTCTTGACATTTTAAATATAATTTGCAGGAATGTTGTATGCTTTTGATTTTCTCTTTATGAAATGGTAATAATAATACATTTCCCATTAAATCTTTAAATATTCATTAATAACTTTTGAGGTCACTCAAATATATAATTGACTTCATCTCAGAATGTATTTTGTATGTATAATGCTTATGTTCTTTCAATTTGCAATTTTAAAAAATAAGGAAAAGAGCAAAAACACATTAAGTACATATTTGCACATTTAGAATGGGGTACTTCTTATGGTTTTTATATTAGTATATATACTAATATATTGTTTGGTATTATTAGTATATTAGTATTTAAGCACATCCTTCTGCAAATATCTAAATTAGTAGCAGTGCTTCAAATATGCCAACCGGCATACAATTTATACAAGGAATATGAATATAAAACTGGGACTGATTCTAAAATTCACTAGATGAAATAGATTGTATAATTTTCTGAAGAGAACATTATTTTTCTTCATTTCAGAGTCCCTTTTCAGCTCCTGAAAAATTATTAGCTGTTTCTGATATAGTTATTAGATACAGCCATGACAGTAGTTATTAATGATACCAACTCACACGTTCTTATTATTAGCTCATAGAAAATGATAGCATTATGGGTTATGTTTTTACTGTATCTACTCCTCAGGATAGATCATGTCATGACTGAATAAAACTCCAAAACAAAACAACAACAAAAAACCTAATGTCCCACACAAGATCAAAGAGGAATGATTTTTGATAGAAATAAATATGTTAGTATATTGATTTAGGGTATGGTCAGTAGGAAGATTATTTAATAAACCTTGTACATTTGTTTCCAAAGTGTCAAACTAGTATGTGATGGACTTTATACATTTGCTTCAAAATGTCAAAGGCCTAGTTCAACAGATCCTTAAATCTCAGGAAGAGATATGTGGTGTTGGCTGAAGTTCTGCATTTCTTTGTGGGTGTCAGATTCATACTCTATCCATTCCTAATACAAACCTTTTTTAAGTGTAATTTTTATTTTTTGAGACAAGGCTCACTCTGTCACCCAGGCTAGAGCACAGTGATATAATCATGGTTCACTGCAGCCTCAATCTTCAGCTGTAAGGAATCCTTCCACCTCAGCCACCAAAGTAGCTGGGACCATAGGCTCATGCCACCACACCCAGCTCATTTTGTTTACTTTTTTTAGAGATGAGGTCTCACCATATTTCCCAGGCTGGTCTCAAATGTCTGGACTCAAGAGATTCTCCCATCTTAGTTAGTCTCCCAAAGCACTGGGATTACAGGTATGAACCACTGTGCCCAGCCCCTAGTACAAACTTAATGTTATATATCATTTACATCTATCAGGTCAAAAAAAAATTTCAAAGTCCAATACTAGTGAAACCCTTCACAATATTAATATGCAACTTGTTGATTATCTATTGTGTTAAAGCTATTGATAGGCATCTCATTTGGCTCCCACAACAACCTTGAAGGGTAAGTGTGCTCATCTCCATTATATAGGTGATAGTAATGAGGCACAGACAAGGTAAGCAACAACTTACCTAAAATCAGTCAGTTAGTGGTAGGGCGCTGTATGTTTCCAAAATCTGGGCAATACCATTTCTACATGGTTTTTTTTAAACCAAAATAGCAAAATTTTATATTACTCTAGGTTAATATTCTCAAGATATGAGCAACTTAGCTATGCTGCCTAATAGTAGTCAATGAGGTTAAATTAACTGGTGTTATCACTGAGATGGAATAAAACAAAATAAATAAACATTGTCAAGCAATGTCAATGAATGAAAGTATAGGTTTAAAAAAAAAACAGTAGAATACACAATAATAAAAGCCAACAGAGTATAGCCCTGACTACTTCAACTAAAGGTGTATCAGTTATCTACGGTCATGAAAATGCTGCATTAAACCTACCCCAAAACTCTGTGGCTTAAAACAACCACCATTTATTCAGCTCACAAGTGTATGGGTTGGCTGGGCTCAGTCCTGCTGCTGTAGAACTGGCTCAGATGATCTTGGCTGGACTTATTCCTCAGTCTGTGGTCAATTTGTGAGTTGGCTGGGGCTGCCTGGTCTGGAATAGCTTTGGCTGGGATGACTCAAATCTGCTCCATATGACCTCCTAACTTCTTGCCGGCTAGCCTGACATGTTCTTCTGGCAGAGGCAGGGATCTAATGGAGAAAGGCCTGGGCTTAGAACTGGAACCCCGTTCTTTCTGTACGAGTTTGTTCACCAAAGCAAGTCACAAGGCTAGCCCTGATGCAAAGGGTGAAGAAATAGATTCCACTTCTTTATAAGAGAACTTGAAAATTTGTATTGCAAAAGGTGTAGATACAGGGAAAGATGTATGAAAAATTGAGCACATTTTAAAAATAATTGGGGCCATTTTTACCTCCACAAATTAACCAACATTGTGAATTCTGTGTTCATTATCCTCTTACTTTCCTTTTTATATAATTTATTGTATTTATAAGTGTTCCTAAAAAGTATATTTTAAATTTTAGTTGTTTTGACTTTACAAAGAAATGATAGTACTAGACATAATCTTTTGGGACTTACTTTTTCACCTAACATTTAATTACTAAGAATCATTCATATTATTGTGTGCTGCTATTGTTTATTTGTTTGGCTATCTGTATAACATTCTGTTGAATATACTACCATAGAGTCTCACATTTTCTTGTTGATGGATATTTGGATTTCTTATAGGTTTTTCCATGGTGAACAGTACTGCCATGTACATGTCCCCTAATGCACATAGGCAATAATTTCTACTGGGCACATGCTGTACACTGGAATACATCAGCTGTAGAGTGTTATGTGAATATTTAACCTTACTTCCAAAGTAGCTAAACCAATTTCCCCACCTAACATCAATTAATAAAATATCTTTTGACTCTACATCCTAGTACTTGTCCTAATTTGGTTTATTTTTGCCATTCAACTATTTTAAAAGTACTTTCTCATTGTGCTCTTGATTTATGTTCCGAATCACTAAATATGTTGAATTGAAGATTTCTCAGTCATTTGGTCATTTCTTGGATTATTGGTCATTTGTGTTTCTCTTTTGTGAAAAGCCTGTTTTCATGTCTTTTGCCCTTTTTAAAAATCTATTATTTGTGCTTTTCCTTTTTATTTGGAGGAACATTTTATTTATACTTTTTGTTACCTATATTTCAAGTAGTTTCTCCCAGTTGGTAATTTGTCTTTTTGTTTTATTTAAGGTGCCTTTGACAGTCAGAATGTGAAATTAACTTGGGCATGAGATTATTGGGAGTCACAGAGTAAGTTAGACAGGTGCATACTGGCCTCTTCTCCACACATGCCCTAAGTTATGTACTGCCATTTGAGGAAATGGATAAGAATGGTGGACACCGAGAAGGGCTCTGGTGTAAATGGGAGAAATGGGCAAGAAAATTACTTACTTTTTTAAAAATTGAATTTTTAGAACAAAAACATAACTTTTGCTGGTTTTTTTTCCCAAATCATTGTAACGTTTTTATTTTTATATCTTTGAGTTTCTGCATTCCTAAGGAATAAAATGGTTAAGTGGTATCTTGAAAAATTAGCCAGGCATTGGTGGTGTGTGCTTGTATTCCTAGCTACTTGGGAGGCTGGGGTGGGAGAATTGCTTAAGCCCGGGAGGCAGTAGGGTTGTAATGAGACTCTTTCAAAAAAAAAAAAAAAAGAGAGAAAAATATAAACAACTGATAAATATATTTGTTAGGAAACTATATAATTCTGACTTAACCTGTTTGTGAACTGAGAATTTGTACATTGTTAGGTATTTTCATGAAGGTAAACAGAGAAAGAAAAAAATGAGAAATTTTTGCTGGTTCCAAATATTATTATTTATAATAGGTCAAATTGAAATATTTGAGTTATTGGCAGCCCTAAAACCCTCAGAAATGTATCGCTAAATAAAAACATTCAAGTATTAAAACTAATGCAGGTGTCAGAAAATGTGTTTGTAATATGTAGTATTATAAAGTACAAATTAAAATTATAGAATTCAAATTAGATTTAAAATGTACTGGGACTCACCATTTTTACAAATGTATTGATAAAGTTTCCCATACATTTTAGCCTTTTGTTTTGTTGTTGCTATTGTTTGCTCATAAAACACTCCTACAAAGTTTGTTAATCATTCTCAAATTAGAAAAAAATGAATTTCTACATAGGTATCATGAAGAAAACATGTTTTTAAAATGTCATCAAGATGTATTGATGGTTATTTCATGGATTTCATGGATTTTTATTTCGTTTTCACAGCTTTACTATTTTAACTTTTACAGAAGGTAGAAAAATGCTCTGAAGCAGTGCACTTCCAAATTTGATCCTTATTGACAGGAATTATTTGAAGCACCTGAAATCTGATATGAGCCTTGGACAAAAGTATCACAGATGATAGCATACATGAGTACAAAGCAAGACGTAGAAAGAGCACTATATTTTTGGAAAAAAAGGGCAAGCACACCACTTCACTTGGAATGTTTTATCAAGAGAGGGATACAGAAGTGAAAAGTAATCTCTGTGCTTTATTTGGCATTGTTTCTGTGTTCAATTTTGGTGTTTGAGTTTGGCAAGGGTATGGAGACTCTGGAGAAGGTCCAGCGAAGATCAGCAGAAGTGATGTAAGGAATGGGGACTAGCTCCTAAGAGAGTGCTCAGTGGGATCAGAAGTGTTTAACTTGGAGAAGGGAAGACGAAGGGATGATTTAACTGTCTTCAAGTATTTGAAAGGTTATTATAGGGAAGATGCAGAACAGATGTTCTTTACTTCCACAGGAGACCAAATAAAAGGAAATACTTTTAAATTGTAGCAAGAGAAAAAGTTCAGTTGGTCATAAAGATGGACATAAGTATAAGGAAGGGATTAAACACTGAAACAGGTAACCAAGGAATACGGGGAAGTTTAATCCTTAGAGATTTTCAAAGGTAGGAATAGATAGCCATTGCCTTGGATGATTTGCGTGTCCTCCCACCTCAGTGCAGGGAAATACCCTATATCTCCTTCTGAAACTCTTCCAACTCTGAGATTCTATGCATGTGTTTTTCACCCTGGTGGGAGTTGCCTAGAAGATAGTCAATTGGGACCATGTATCCAAGGATAGAAGCTAGAATTCAGCAGAAGCAGAGATCAAAGGGTATTTCCATGGGTATCTCTGATCTCCTCCTAACTAAACAGGTATTGGTGACTAGATCCGGGAAGAGAAAATGTTTCTTACCCGTCCATGTATAGAACTGTATTGCATGTGGCCTTTTTCTCTAAACTTTCTGAATCAGCAATGATCATTCAAGAAATTATAACAGCTAATGTTATATTGAAGATGAAGCATTGCATTAATTATCTCACTTATCACTGGGTGGTGGTGTGTTTCTCCTTTCACAGATAACGAAATAGACTAAGAGAAATTTAATCATTAGCTTAAGGTCTTTCAACAGGTGAGTGCAGAATTCAAACCTTGGCCTGCTTGTCTGTTTTTTTTTCTATTCTAGGAAGAAGTTGTACATATTTAGAAACATCCTTCCTTAATACTGGCAGCTTTTGTTAATAAGAATTAGGTTGGCTCCAAAAAGTAATCATCTGCATTAGGAGAACATAAAGAAATGTGTGTTAAATGAATGAGGACCAAGACTTAGGTTTTGGGTAAAATTCGGTAATGTATTATACGTGTCATAATTAAGTTGCTCTTCTCCACTAAAGCAGCATTGTATGTAACCAGAGATATTTATTTCCTTTGGCTATTTGACCCATTATTGGGATAATTGAATGCTGGCCTCTTGAATAATAAAAGGTTTACATTTCAAATAAGCCATGGAGTTTGAGCATCTAGATTTTCAAAAGCCATGAGTGACATAGGATATTGAAAACTTCCACAGTGAACTTAAATTTTAGAGGAAATTTGAAGAAACAGCAATCCATATGTATAAACTGGCACTTAATTCATTAATTCTTAGTTGTCCTCAATCATCCTCAATCATTACTTCATTTAGTTTTATCACTGCCTAAGGTTTGCTTAGAGTTAACTTATTCTGAGTCTTTGTATTTCAAGTAAAATATATAGTACTGGGAAAAATCTAGAAGGATGAAAGGAATGTAAACAATCTAATTTTTTTATCAAAAGATTAGACATTTACATGCTATAGTATTTATTGTCTTTAGAAAAATTGTACCTTATTTATTTATTTAATAAACAACCTTTGCTATATATTACAATATAATATATAGCAACCCGAAGCTATATATTATGCACTATTGATTTGTTAGTAAAAATGTGAATTCTTTCACCATTTTTTTGTTATTGTTTTGTTGTTATGATATTTTCTGATCCTTGGAAGTTTATGAGACAAATAGGTGTCAAGAGCCCTTGAATGTTATTTTCTAGGATAAGATTTCTCTTTGCCATATTCTCTTTTGCATTCAATAATTTAGACTTATTTTACTTCATAATAAAGAGGATGAGAGAACAGATATGTATTAATATAACAGTAATAATAAATAGCATTTATTGAACATTCACTCTCAGTGCCCACAGAGAGCATCATCTACGGTGTATTCTGTGCAGTGGCTTGCCTTCTCTAAGTACTACTCTGAAAGCTTTGCATGTGTTGTTTCTTCAAATCCTCAAGTCATCCAATGAACTAGGGGCTTGCATTAGGTCCCTTTTATGGAATAAGAAAGTGACTCACAGAGAGGTTAAGTACCTTACATAGGTCCCTCAGCTAGTAAATAGAGGAGTTAGGATTCATAACCAAGCAATCTAGTGACCATGCTTTTAGTCCTGTACTGTGCTTCCCTTCTGTTGGAGACCACTTGCCTATCCAAACTTTCACGGTCATCATTTTAACTATCCCAAGCTTCTGCACTTCATTTCTGATCAATAGTCTGAATCCACATATAGTCCTTTTTTTTTTTTGCTTATTAAACACTAAACATAAAAGCATTATAATTCAAATATACATGTGCATATTATAAGCTACTCCTAAATGAATGTGTTTTCATGACACGTTCTGGGATAAAAAGATAAGCAAGAAAAAGCCCCTTTAATTAAGAAGCTTATAGTTCAGAGAGGAATAACGCATGAACTCAACTAAATATATTGCTCAAAGTGGAATGTGCAGACATAACATATTCCAGTAGCACAGAGGAGCAAGTGATTCATTCTTATTTGGTGAGTATGGTGCTGTGGACCTTGCCTCAGAGAGAGAAAGCTGAAGGATTTGTATTAAGTAAGATAACTGGGAGACATGGGCATAGACAATGTGTAGTATAGAAAATGAGGACATTTTTCCAGCATCTTTGCTCACTGAGGATGCTGAAGAAATGCAGCAACATGTAGATATGTGTCTCAATTATTGTTGGATTGTTAATATCAAGAAATGATGCCTTGACACACACACACATACCTATTCATTCATCTGTCTATTCATTTTTTCACCAAATCCCTGGTTAAAGTAATCTCAGTTCATAGGGATGGCAATTATCTTCCTTAATGGGTATGCATCCTTCAGCCTCAAGAAGATTTAGAATGTAGTATAAAAGTGTTTAAGACTCAGAATTTTAGCATTGATATTTGTGTGTTATGGAAGACTCTGCTCAGGTTTAGAATTTATTATATATGCATAAAATAAGTAACAGATTTCAGTCTTTTTGAATGGTAGCCTCATAACATTAAGTTAAAATGTACGATTGAGAAATTGTTCTCAACTTGTGTGAGAAGAGAGTGGACCTTGTTTGTATCCCAAAGCCACCTGTGCGATAACATGAAAAGTATGGGTGAAAGCTTAACTGGAGTGGGTTTAACAGAGAATGGAAAGAGTGAAATTGCACAGCAAGTACAGATCAAAGTGTAGAGCCAGACGTTGCTGTCATTCCTTGAGCATTGACTATGGTGCTGGCTGTGGCTTTGAAGCCTTACCCTTAGGTGATTGTGAAAGCAGCAGGCATCCCAGAGAGGGATAAGAGTGAGAGAAGATAACAAGACTGTATGTGAGCTCACCTGTGACACCTTTCAGGGTGGGACCCAGGAGCTGGAGATGTTTATAGCTAGGTAGACAGAAACTAACACCTGCAAATTTAGCTTATTACCTTTAATGAAGCCCTATTGGTACCTACAGACTTTTGAGCTTAGACTTACTCTACTTGAGTAAAAACAAAAAGGAAAGAAAATCTGGGACAGTGAAGGGAACAAGAAACTGGAGGAACTATAGAGAGTGGATGTATTAGCAATTCCAGATGGAATAAACAGAAATTCACTTTTCGTCTGTGTCTCACGAGGCACAAGAGTCCAAGACCTCAAAGTCGGGAAATAAAGCTGAATCTTCTTCTCCAGAGCCTCATGGCCACTCATTTCTTCATTTGTCTGTATGTTTGTGTCATTCTTTTTTTTTTTTTTTTTGCTTTTAACTGCAAATCTGCTTCTCTATTTCTCTCTGTTTATGCCATAAAATGACTGTTGCAGTGTTTTGTCTTTCTGTCCAAGCAGTTAGAAATTGATAAAAGTTGTGAGTCATAATTGCAAATTTCCAGGAGAAAAAAATGTGATTGACCCAGTTTCAGTCACTTCTGGTTAAGAGGGCAGAATCATCTGGCCCATGTTCATCTTTATAAGCATGAATATCATCTCTGAAAAGAAGACTCAGTTGTCTTCTTGGAGCCAGGTCTGAAAGGCATGCAAGAAACAAATGGGTATTTCTTTTTTTTTTTTTTTTTTTTTTTTGAGACGGAGTCTCGCTCTGTCGCCCAGGCTGGAGTGCAGTGGCGGGATCTCGGCTCACTGCAAGCTCCGCCTCCCGGGTTCACGCCATTCTCCTGCCTCAGCCTCCCAAGTAGCTGGGACTACAGGCGCCCGCCACTACGCCCGGCTAATTTTTTGTATTTTTAGTAGAGACGGGGTTTCACCGTTTTAGCCAGGATGGTCTCGATCTCCTGACCTCGTGATCCGCCCGCCTCGGCCTCCCAAAGTGCTGGGATTACAGGCGTGAGCCACCGCGACAAATGGGTATTTCTAATGTAGTGAGACGTGTCTGGAAAACGCAGCTAGAGAAGAGTATCATTCCCAATCCAATTTTTAAATAGAAGCCAGTTTAAAACTTTTGTTCACTTAGAACATCAAAGGATTTGTACTAGTTTTAAAGTAGTTTTTCATCAAGTTTAAGGAATAAAATGAAGCACAATAATTAGGTCAATGATTTTCAAAGCGTTTTGTTGTTGTTGCTTCAGCAGAATATTTTTGCAAATGAAATCTCATGTGCACCTCCTCAAGATAAAAGAGATTCAAGGGGGCTGCTACGGCTAAAGTATTGTCAAGGGTCATGGAATCCTCCCTGCCCATCCCCTGAAGGACATATATTGTATTCTAACAGACTCCATTTTATACTTCTATTACTAACCCCCTCTGTACCCACAACATCCACATGGAAGTACTCTTGAGTTACCTTAGGGAAATTTCATCTTTCTTGGCATATTTATTTACATACATGTACTCTTCATATTGACAAATGTATTTTATGTGAAAAGATTCATACACGTTTGTGTTAAATACCACTAAGGGTGGGACTATTCCCTTTTGGTTCACCATTGTGACCCTACCTATCCAAACCACTGCTTGAAACATAGAGGCGCTGAAGCAATAGTTGTACTGAGTGAATATATATAAATTAATAAAATTACATAGATGGGGACAACCTCATCCTTTTAAAAAGAGTCTCCTAACAGAAGTCTAGTGGTTTTGCAATAAATATTTGCTAAATTAAGTCAACTTAAAAAATGAAAATATAACCTCTATCATTTATATTAACTTGGTAATGTTACAACTGTGGCAGTGACAACATAGCTAACAAAATTTTGGCCGTCTTTCTGGGTGAGCTAATGTGTGGTCAGGCCTAAGAAATGACTTACAGAGTTAGAAGTTGCTACTAATTTTCTGTTTTTGAGCATTCCCCCAAATAAGTCTATATTGTAAAGGAGGTCTAATAAAAAATACTCTTGTAAACATTTACTATTTACATAAAATTCATTGCTTCTTGTACAGTGTAGTCAAGTACTAATTTGTGTATCAATCTATGGCAACATATTGAATCTGAATGAAATAAATTTTTGATTTTGTTTTTCATCTACATTTTTAATCTGGTTGCTAAAATAGTAGTTTAACTGGTAGTTTATATAATTTTCATATAAAAATAGTTAATATATACATGGGAAATACTGGTTTACTTTGAAATATATACATTGTAAAAAAAGTTAATGTATATATTTATGCTATAGACATTTGTTCCAATTATTATAATTTCATCAATAGATATAAATTCAAACCTCAGAAATAGATATTTATGAATTAATTTTTAGTAAAAACAAACTAAAATCCCACTGTCCAATTTTAGACATTTGTGAGGATGTGTTATATTATAGGGAATATCTCTCTGCTGAAAGGATTTGTAGCAGTAGAAGTTGCTCCTTAAATCTTAGAAAAATATTGAAAAGCTATGTTTAAAAGTCTGACATACATACATACATGGGGTGATTACTATAGGCTGAAATTGATTTGTTTTGTTTGATTTTCACAAAGCTACAGAGCTATACAAAGCTATACAGAACTGAGCATTAGAGCAGGTTGAGTATTCTATGGACAGGATTAAAGCGGGCATAATTTCTGCTGAAATAAACAGTAAGAAAGCAAATAGGAGAAATTACTCTAAAGCCTTTTTGAAGAGCATCCTTTCCTGAAAAGCTGTTGAAAGCACAAATTGTTATTAGTATACATGCTAGAAGACCAGGTGACACCCATCCTGTTGGAAATCTGGCACTGGGGTTGTTAAAATGTAGGCTTATATGGAAAATATCTTGACTGTAGGGTGTGTTTGTGATGGCCAACTTGACGTTGAAATTTAAAATTGTGCTTTTGTTATGTAACAAACATGTTACGAATTCATGTCCTGATCATAATTTACCTTAAACATATTTTATATTATTTTTATTTTTACATTATTTAATTTTGTTAGGTTTTCACAAAAGACCTACTGTCCTCTCCTCAAAGGTTTATAATTTAGAACATGTAGCTGAAAATGCATTAAAAGCAGATATAGCTAATACACAATTTTACCGTAAGTGTAAATAGTAGGGCTACTTGTCTGATATTGTAAATCTATATATTTCTGCCCATCAGAAATAAAAGAAATACAGCAAGTTTCTCTATGACATTTCAAGATATTTTCATATATTTATCTTATCAATTATTGATTTGAGTAAAATCAGAGTAACTCTCAAAAAGATGCCATTATAATAAGCTAATTAAATAAAAGATAATTTGTACATTGCATCATTGTATTACAACTATTTACTTAAAGACTCATTTATAATAATCTCCCTGCATATAAATGTAGCAGCTTGGGGATTTGGTAAGGTTCGTAACACTGACATTCTGAAAAAGGAGGTATGGGGCAGGAGTCTACCACAGCAGCTCACCAACAGTAAAGTGGTCTTATTGTTACTGGAAAAGAGTTCCTATCCAGACTCCAAGAAGGGGTTCTTGGATCTCATGCAAGAAATAATTCAGGGTGAGTCCATAGAGTAAAGTGAAAGCAAGTTTATTAAGAAAGTAAAGGAACAAGGAATGGCTACTCCATAGGCAGAGCAGCAGCCTGAGCTGCTGGTTTGCCATGTTAATGGTTGTTTCTTGATTATATGCTAAACAAGGGGTGGATTATTCATGAAGTTTCTGGAAAAGGGGTGGGCAATTCCCAGAACTGAGAGTTTCTCACCTTTTTAGACTGTAAGGTAACTTCCTGATGTTGCCATGGCATTTGTAAACTGTCATGGCGCTGGTGGGGGTGATTTCTAGCATGCTAATACATTGTAATGAGCAGTGAGGACAACCAGAGGTTACTCTTATCACCATCTTGGTTTTGGTGGGTTTTAGCGGACTTCTTTACCACAACCTGTTTTATCAGAAGGCCTTTATGACCTGTATCTTTTGCTAACCTCCTATCTCATTGTGTGGCTTAGAATGCCTAAGCTCCTGGGAATGCAGCCCAGGAGGTCTCAGCCTTATTTTACCCAGCCCCTATTCAAGATGGAGTTGCCCTGATTCAAACACCTCTTACAATATCCCTGGATGTGAGGTTAAATAGGAGTCCTGAGCGTGGTATTGGTAGCTCTTTCCTTGAAATCGTTACTCTTCGGTTTCCATTTTGATGATAATAAGCCACTTTTCCTATAACAGATGGATTAGCCCTTTGTTTCACAATTGGGTATCAATTTGAAATACAATCATATTTCCTGTTCTATTACACTTTATGCTGCATCTCACTTCAGATGAAGGATGATGCATTGTGATTTGGGTAGGTTTTGACAAGGAGTGATTGTAATGCCCCACTATTCTATGGCTTCCACAGCTGTCTCTGCTCTTCTGTATATATATACATGTATACGTATATGTACATGTGTATATATATGTTTGCTATTTCACCATCCCAGGCCCTTTTTGCCCTTCTGTCTCTTCCACCATGTGAAGACACAGCATTTCTCCCTTCCAGAGGAAAAAGCGACAAGGTACCATCCTAGAAGCAGACACAGCCTTCAGCAGACACTAGATCTGCTGGCACCTTGATCTTGAACATCCCAGCCTCTAGAACTGAGCAAATAAATTTATATTATTTGTAAATCACACAGTCTGTGGTATTTTGTTATAGCAGCATAAGTGGACAAAGCCAGATATGTACATACACATTTGCCAGGACTAATTTAGAAAGCCAATTAGAAAGAGATTCTGGGCCACTGCACAGTCTGGGACAATATACATGGAAATAACTAACTCTTGAATCACTGTAAATTTTGTGATTCTGGAAGATGTACAACAAGCCCCACTATTCTATGGCTTCCACATCTGTCTCTGCTCTTCTGTGTATATATACATGTATATGCATATGTACATGTGTATATATATATATGTTTGCTATTTCACCTAAAGAATTTCTTTTTTTAAAAAAAAGTGTTATACATTGACAAATGACAGTTGTATATATTTATAGGATACAAAATAGTGTTATGAATTTTGAGTACAATGTGAAAAGATTAAATTAATCTGATTAACATATCACCTCAAACATTTAACATTTGTGTGATGAGAACGTTAGAAATGTACTTTTAGTGTTATTGAAATGTACAGAACTCGATTATTAGTTCTATTCATCACACTGTGCAATTGATCTAAAAACAATCAAACTTATTCCTCCTATCTGAGGCTTCGTATCCTTTGACTATCATTTTTCCATTCCCCCCATTCCATGGTGGAAGAGCGTCTTGTAAGCACCATTCTACTCTCTGCTACTTAGAGTTCAATTGTTTTACATATCCCACAGAAGAGAAAGCATGCAGTATTTGTCCGTACGTATTGGGCTTATTGTATTTAACATAATGCTCTCCGTTTACATCAGTGTTGTCAGAAATGACAGAGTTCCTTCTCTTTTTAAGGCTGAATAGTATTCCATTGTGCATGTATACCACATTTTCTTCATTCATTCATCCCTTCATGGACACCTAGGTTGATTCTATAACTTGGCCATTGTTAATGGCACTGTGATAAGCATGGGAGTGCAGATATCTCTTTGATATACTGATTTCCCTTCTTTTTGGTGTATACCTGTTACCAGCAGCAAATCTATATCCATACAGGTCTGCAGCAACCTCAGTTCTTGCCTCCTCAGAAGAAAGAATTTGACTGAGGACCATAAGGCAGAAGGAGAGACCTAGGCATATTTTAGAGCAAGAGCGAAAGTTTGCTAAAAAGCTTTAGAGCAGAAATGAAAAGATATAAAGTACACTTGGAAGAGGGCCAAGGGGGCAACTTAAGAGTTTAAGTGTGCTGTTTGAACTTTGACTTGGGATTTTATATGTTGGCATACTTCTGGGGTCTTGCGTTCCTTCTCCCCTGATTCTTCCCTTGGGGTGGGCTGTTCACATGCGCAGTGGCCTGCTAGTGCTTGGGAAGGGAGGAATGCATGAGCATTGTGTTTACTGGAATCGTCCTCATGCTCACTTGAGGTGTTCTTTCCTTACCAGTTTAGCATTCCTAGAAGAAGTTCATTTAGCAGTGAAACTCTGCCATTTTGCCTCCTAATGCACATGCTTGAGTCCACTTGCCTAACTCCTGAGATCTTATCAGGAAGCTTATGATCAGGTTTTTTCTACCTATTGGAAGCCTACCTTTCCCTAGTGCCGGCTGTGACCAATTATTATTTTACAGAGACCGTTAACAATCACCTGATCATCACCTGATGATCTTCTGAGATTCCCGGTGCGGGGTGCCTCTCCTGCCCTGTTCATGCCTGACTACCTACCTACTGTAACATACCTAGTAGTGGGATTGTTGGATCATATGTTAGTACTATTTTAGCTTTTTGGGTAACCTCTATACTGTTTTCTATATGATGTACTAACTTACACTCCTAGCAACACTGTATAAGGGTTTCGTTTTTTCCACAACCTTTTCTTAGGAGGCAAGAGAAAACTTTACCTTTGCCCTCTGAAAGTTTGCTGGGAAATTAACTGACAACAGGCAGATTAGTTGGATAAATGGCATACAAATTTATTGACATGCACATAGGGGAGAAGCACAAAGTGATTATCACCTCCCCATGGGGTTCAGAAGCTTATATACCATTTTGAGGTTGCAGAAAGAGTAGGGGCCTGATCATAGCCAAGCAGGTTATGGTGGCAGAATAGATCATGGGAGGGGGAGAAGAGCAGGCCTGTGTAGCAAATGTGGTCTTGTGATGTAAATGAAACCTCACAGGTAGCAGCTGTCAGAGGGAATAGATGGTAAATGTTTCTTTCGGACTTTTACAGGTGTCAGACTCTCAGTTAATCTTTCCTAGATCTGGACAAAGAAAAGCCTCAAAGAAAACCTGTTTCCATCAATGCTGATTCTCTACAGATGCAAATCTCTCCCACAAAAGGCAAGTTTGCAGGGATGCTTCTGTTTGCAGGCCCTCTGAACAGTCATCTCAAAATATGTCAAGGAAGTATATTTTGGGTGAGATATTTTTATTTTTTTCATCACCAACACTTTTGTCTTTTTGATAACAGCCATTCTAACAAATGTGAAGTGATATTTCTTTGTGGTTTTAATTTGCATCTTCCTACATACGGATTAGTGATGTTGAGTTTATTTTCATGTATCTGTTACCCATTTGTATATCTTTTTAAGAAATGTCTATTCAGGTCCTTTGCTCATTTCTTAATCAGATTATTTGTTTTCTTTTTATGGAGTTGAGTTCCTTACATGTTTTGAATATTTATCCCTTATCAGATGTATGGCTTGTCAATATTTTCTCCCAGTCTGGAGTTTGTCTGTTCACTTTATTAATTGTTTCCTTTGATGTGTGTCCTTTGATTCTTATATCTTGTTCTGTTCTCAGTAAAACAGAGCTCTGGTTTCGCTACTCTCTAGCTCCAACCCCTTTAATAGGTTTCCCTCACCTGTTGCTTCAGCCCACTTCACACATCAATTTTGCTGCAGCTCCTTTCATATTTACTTTCACCAAAATTGCTCACTGTGCTGCACAAAAGGCCTTGGACTGCCCTCTTCTTGGCCTTTCCATGCTCCTTTGCTTGTTCATTTGTGGCATAACTATATATTGGGGCCTGTTTGGTGCCAGGGTCTGGTTTGTTCTTTCCACCAAGAAGGAAATGACCTCTTTCCTTATCTCCTCATATATAATCCTATCCATTATTCATAGCCCAGCTGAAACACTTCACGTGGCCTTCCTTGATATATACTAACAGTCCTACTCTCCAATTCTGGGATCTCATGACCTTTTATTATATGATCTGTATTTTTCTAATATGTCACATTCTGTTTTGCATTCTCATTACTTTATGTAAGTGCCTCTATTAGATTACAGTCTCCTTGAAGACACAGACTTTGTTTTAGTTAGTCCTTCTTCTTCCCCTGTCATCTCTAGCATGGGATTTTGCAACTTCTCTTAAGCATTTGTGGAACAAAGAACTAAGACTAGATTTTAAACCAGTTAAATACACACTGATTTCTACATGGAAAATTTAGAAAGCCAATAGATTTACTTTACAATGTTATCTGGTCTTGGTACAAAAGTATTATTTAGAATTATTTAGAATAATTAGCACTTACTTATTACTTACAGTCAAATGAATTTTTATTTCCCTCTGGCTCTTACTTAGTTAAAATGTTTACATAAGAAGAAGGAGGAGGAGCAAAAACAACAAGATGAAATAACTTAACGTACACTAAGTTAGTTTTTGAAGCTGGGTTTCTCAGACTCCTTAGAAGCGGGATTTCATGAATGAACTTAAGGAGGTCTTGGAACTCCATGAAGTTAGATGCAAATCTTCAGGGTGAGTCAGTAGTTGTCATCTAATTCTCAAAGAGATCTTTTACACAAAACCAAAACTAAATAAAACTCCAGTGTTATAATTCATTTTCTTTTTCCATTTACTTTCTTCTGGCATTTCAAAGAATGCCACTATATATGAAAGGCTTTTTAAAAACTAAGTTCTATAAGTAAATTAATTTTAGAGGTTAATATGGTCGTCAGCAAAACTCCATGACATAGAAACTACTAGTTAGTAAGACAAATGAATGTCAAGGGTAGTTTTGTTTTTTATTTTCCCACCATCTTCATGGGATAAAATACGTGAATATGAAGTCAGCAGACCTAAGGGCTGATGGATAATTATGAAAGACAGTGTGATTTGTTCCTTAAGTACTAAAAGAGATTTAAAAAAAATACTATCTTGTTTAATGTCTGCAGACATGATGCTCTCATTCCACTAAGTCTCTACTTACAACTATACACCATAGTTCAGCTATTCACCATAGTGTGAATACTTAACAACTATTCACCATAGTGTCCTATAAAGTTGTTGGTATAACAAACCAGATGGGAAGCAGACCTCTGTAGTTTATAAAATAAGTAGCTTTTCCCCTCACTAATCTCACAGCATTGGTTTTTCAGTGCTGCTAAAATTAAAAAAAAAAAAAATTCTTTAGTTTAGCCCTCCACAGGTGAGTTGCTTTTCTAACTGCATCTGCTACTACGCCCATAGGCCGACCCTAAGTTCCTGACAGATGAGATTACTTGCAAGGTCTTGTACTTTTTCAAGTTTCTGCTTTTTCTCATCCTGTTCTTTCTTTTTTACATGGAATTACTGAATTTTATTATTCATTCTATCAGTTGTTATTAAGTATCTTGGGCCAGGACCAAGCACTGTGAGTAAGTATATACTCATAGTGAGTATACTTAAATGCTTAAATTGAGTATACTTAAATAAACTATTAGTAGATGATCAATATGTTTGTTTGGCTTGAATGTACAATACAAGAATTTATGGGTGGCACTGGGGATGAGGCAGCTTCTCAAGGATTATTTAGGCAGAAAAAGTTTCTTTACATTAAAACCTATAGTCATGTCTTGCTTAATGATAGGGATACATTCTGAGAAAATTGTGGGTAATTTTTGTCCTTGTGCAAACATCACAGAGTATACTTATGTAAACCTAGATGGCATGGAGTACTAGGCACACCTAGGCTATATGGTACAGCCTATTGCCCCTACAAACCTACACAGCATGTTACTGTACTGAATACTGTAGGCAATTATGTAACACAATGATATTTGTATATCTAAACATATCTAAACTTATAAAAGTCACAGTAAACATAGGTATAAAAGATTAAATAGGTACATTTGCATAAGGCAGCTCCATTATAATCTTATGGGACTACCCTTGTATATGTGGTCTGTGGTTGACAAGAACCTTGTTATGTGGTCTGTATGACTGCATAAGTTAGGCCTCATAGTCATTTCTACAAATCGAAACTGCCATCTATATGTAAATAACAATGGAAGTATGCACATATGCCAAAGTTTAGAAAGTATTATTTTAAGATGTATTTTAGACAACAAAAATTCAACAATTAATAATAGTCCATTTGGACTATTGGGGAGCCCCAAAATAAGTAAAGTATAATATATCTAGGGTTGCCAGATTTAGCAAGCAAAAATATAAGATGTCCAGCTAAATTTGTTGCCAAAAGCCCTTTTCTCCAAATTTTCTAAGTCCTCATTTTGTTCCTGAGGCTGGTATTGTTTTCTGGGGCAGCACTGGGCCAAGGTCTCAACTGTGTGGGCTCCAGACCCAGTGACTCCTGCTCTCTGGGAGCTCTCTGACCCCCTATTCCATGCATGGAGCTAAACAGATGTCCTCAGAGATATTTGCTTAGTTACTGGAGGGGTTGTCTCAGCTGGCGGCTGGGCCAGAGTTCCAGGAGGCAGTCTGGCGAGCAGATCTCTCCTCTGACTTGGTCAGTGTTTCTTTCTCTCACTGTGTACAAGATTGGGCTGCCAGAATGGTGCTGAAATGTTCATTATGGGTGACTCACCCACTGTATAAAAATGGACAAAGGCAAGGCTCTGGGAGACTGGCTGAGCTTTGAGCTGGAACTGCATGTGGGGGCCTATGAGCTGTCTGTGTTCCAAGGGAGAAGGCCACCTTCAGTCTACTGCACCTGAGGGACAGAGGATCTTTCACTGCTGGCTCCCAAGGCAGTCACTCACCTTTCTGCAGGTGGTCCTTCCGGGTGGCCATGCCCCAGACTGTCCAAGAACTTTAGAGATCATTGCTCTGTAACTCTCAATGGGCCCTCCTGATGGATATCCTCTCTTGTTTCTTTTCTATGTGGATGTGTGTCCTCCTGATCAGTCTTAAGCCATTTTGGAAGAGGAAGGGAAATTCTTTGCTTCCAGTCTTAAGCCATTTTGGAAGAGGAAGGGAAATTCTTTGCTTCAGTGGCACTCTTCCTTCTCTGACTATGGCTCTTCCCTTAACCTTCCCACGTGGTGGTATGTGGAAGGCAAGGTTGCAGTTTCAGCATTAAAAGGGATCACATTCTAGGAATGGAGTGATTGTGACCTAAAGAGTTCAAGAAGAGGCAGGATAAGTATAATATGACCAGAAAAGGAATTATTGTTTACATTTTTCTGCACTATCTGGGTAAAACTTGCTTTTGTGGTCATCATCAGTAAAACACAGTGTCATCTCTTGAGGGTCACTGGCGATCAGCATTTATGGGAGGCACTGAGGATGAGGCAGCTTCTCAAAGATGATGTAATCAATATGAAAGAACTGAAATTAGGAAACTGTGGAGACAAGAAGATCTATATTGTTTCAATACACACAAGTTCCAAAGAAGCATGGCATTATGAGTGATAATTGTGTTACTACCTTTTTCTTGCTGAGAGTGATAGGAAATTAACCAAGAACAGCATATAACAATAAAGAACATGAAGACACAGTTTCTGGACCTACTGAGGAAGAGATGATCATTACCTAGACATTAGGAGGAATCTTCACATTCACTGACTGGACGATACAAAAAAATATATTTAAGAACCTCTTCTCTACCCATTATATTAAACTGTCGTCAATCACTAAACATTGCATAGTTTTGTGATTTCTTAATGGATTTAATCAAATTGTTTATATGGAAGGGGCCCTGCATACTCTTGGGGAGCCCAGCCAGAACCAGCACATAGTCCACGGATAGTGTAGAAGGAATGGTGTCCATTACTTCCAGGAGACTCTTCGGTGCCCATCTACTTGTGGGAGGACATTATCCCTTTTAATGGTCCAAGAATTTACAAGCCCTCTAAGACATACGGTATGTCTGTTGCTGTGGTTTGAAGGTGTCCCCCAAAAAGCGTGTGTTATAAATTTAATCCCCAATGCAACAGTGTTGGAAGGTGGGACCTAATGAGAGGTGATTAGGCCATGAAGGCAGAGGAAATAGATTAACTTAGTATTTCTATTTGTTAATAATTTTTTAACCTCTTGCAAGGCCTACCTCATACTCTTTCACATGGTATTTTTTTCTGCACTGTATATCCAGTCCGATGCCTTACATATGAGTAACTGCCTAACAAGCCACATGGAACAAATTCTTAGGTCTTGCTCCTGGTAATGATTTCTCCATTGGGGAAGGATACAAATTATTTTCCCCTTATCTAAGACATTTATTACTACTCATAAATTTCTGAGAATGCAAGTAGCTTTGGGGATACCTTTGTTAGATCAAGGATCATCCTCACCCCTTCCTTTTCCTTGGGGAAGGACTAATTCAGGCTTCTGTGAGGATAATGTTCAGTGTTATTTTCTCATTCCATTATCCATCCCTAGGTCTTTTCACTTAGAATCTTTTGCAGATGTATAAATAGCATTGTTTCCCATGAAAGGGAAACTTGCCTTTAGCAAGCCTCCGAACAGTTGTGCTCTGCACCTGCAGTAATAAAATTCGAGAGAGATAATGTACTGAATTTTAATCACATGTTGCCTTGTTACATATTCACTGTTTAAAAACATTTCCTTTTTGTGGAGTTGTTAGTAAAAGGGTGGTGTTGCCAATTAAGCCACCGAACAGCTTAGGGAGTGATTTTACACTGGGGAATGATTATAGTCTTGTGTAAAAATAGCAGACTCTTTGGTTAAAGTGAAAATGTCTAGTAAACAAGCTTGATGAAAGCCCATCTCACCAGAAATGCTTCAAATATGCATATGTATGTGTTTGAATTTGTGGATGAAGTTGGGTTTTTGTGCAAGTACACAAAAGAAAGGGATCATTTAGTCAACAGCTATGTATATAGAAATTTTGAGCACATCAGTATGTTTAATAAAATTGACCACCAAAGACAGCCTAATAGAGTTACCAGAGCTTTTAGTTTTCTTGTTTTTTTTTTTTAGTTTGACTTTAAAAGACAGTCTGACATTTAACATGTTAACTATTTCTATATTTATCTGAACATATTCATGCTTATTTAATAGACATATTCTCAGTTGTTTTTTGAAGGGAACTATGAAAGGAAAAAAGATGTTATATTTAATAGCCATTTATATTTACTATATATGCTAATATGATCATTACATTATGTTTTGCTATGTTTTCTGGAAGGTTTTTGATAGTTTTTATATTGGAATATGGAGTTTTCTAAGAATTTCTAAAAGGAATGGAAATGAAACTATCTATTGTTCTTCATCCTCAAGAAAAAAGTAAATCTACAAGCTAGAATACAGTGAATTTAGGTTATACATACATTAGAATTTCAGAGATTCAGCATTGCTGGTTTGAGGTTTTCCAAACTTGCCTGTTCATAAGAATCTTCTGCACATGTTTCTTACTAAAATTGATTCTTGGGTCGTCCAGCCCTACCAAACCAGAATCTCCAGGGAGAGGGGCCTAGGACTCTATATGTTTAGCAAGCACTTCTGGTGATTCTTATGCTCAAACAAATTTAACAAACATTGGATAGTGGTTAAGAGCAAGTGTTTTGGATTAGAATGCCTGAGTTAGATTCTTGGTTTCACCACTTCTTAACAAGGTACTGTGGGGAAAGTATCAACAGCTTTAAGCCTCGGTTTTCTTCCTGTTACCTATGACTCTGTCCTGACACTCTTAATCCTTGTAGTTAATTCAAAGAAAAAACTTTTTGTGTGTGAGTATAAAACGATTTTTTTCTAAATAGTTTTTGAGTATTATTTGTCTTTTATGTTGATATCTAGGTTTCTTTCAAGAGTAATAAAATGTAGATCTATAGGCTTATGTCCATTCAAAATGAGTATTAATTAAAGCAATCGTTCTTATCAAACTTGTCATCAGTAAAATAATTTCCAACAACAGATGCTTTGAGGAAAACGGGATATCACAAGCAAAAGAATTTGAGGAAATGCTATAGTAATCTCTCATTTTTCTGTATTCATATAACAACAACTCTGAAAAGTTGTATAGTAAGGAACACCTGCTTAATTTTGTTTAATCCAGCATTTCTCCAGCTTATTTAACCATATAATTCCTTTCCACCAACATATTTTATTTTATTTTATTTTACTTTGTATATCACTGATTAACATTTTTAGCCTACTGTTATCTTTTAAGATCAATTTTAGGTTTGGAAATATAAATTTAATTTATTTAGTGCCTATATGTGTGAAATATTATTATTGCTATGCAATTATATAACTAATCTTTTCTTACCTTTTAAAAGTAGTAACAAATCTTTAACTTGGCTGTTCTTTCCTATGTGAAGTCTTCTTAACCTGAATCTCACGGACCTTTTCAGGTTTCAATAAATGACATGAATAGTCCCAAAATTGTGTGTGGCATTTTGTGTGTGATATGCACATTTCTGTAGAAAGGGCTCATTGTTTTAAAATTGGATCCTCAAAGAGTTATGTGGCCCGTGAAAGATTAATACTCACTCCTACATAGGAGGTAATTGCCACTGTTAGGTTGTTTTTCCCTTTCTAAATCAAGGAGCTGCATTAAACAGCAACTTAAGTGTTGAAACAAGATAGAAAAATACATTAGAATACATTGGTGAAGGCATTCAGGACATTTTATTTTTATTTCAACTGCCTATAATGCTTAGAATTTCTTTATTTTTAGATATTAATAGTGATTTAAACTTTATTTTTCTTTATTGCTTCAGATTTTTGATATTTATTAATTTTTATCTATTAATTCACAAATGGTCATTAAATAACTACCATTTGCCACATATTAGATACAGTGAAAAACAAAGAACCATTGGGCGATTGTAAGGAACAGCTCTTAATTTCAACCTTTTTATTTCTCAGGAGACAATAAAGTTAATATGCTAGACAGCAAGCCACTGCAGAAACTAGTGGCTCAATAAAAACAGAACTCAAAGAAGTGAGTTTTTGGCAGAGTTTGTAGAGTGGTTCTACACCTTACCCCTGTTTTTGTTACCTCTTTTGGTATCTATTCTGATGCTATTATTCCTTGGCTACATACTATATCTCCTCTAATAAATGACTGTCCTTTTGTTTCTAGTTTAATTCTTAATTTGAGCCAAGTTCCTACATTCATTCTGCTACTATCCCTATTCATTCAATGTCTTTTTAGAAAAAGCCTATTCTAAATTGGAAACAGGCAGGGAGTATTCTTTATCTGTAGTAATCTGCACCTCCACCTTAGTAGCAGCATGTTTTAACCAGCTGAATTACTCTGGGAAAATAATGCATAAATATAGTAACATATGAAGAAAATGTTTCCTCGTGAGAAAAATGAACTAACTATGTTAAAAGTATTTCAGCAGGAATAACATTGCTTTTTTTTCTTTCTTTTTTTTGAGACAGTCTCACTCTGTCACCTGGGCTGGAGTGCGGTGGTGCTATCTTGGCTCACTGCAACCTCTGCCTCCTGGGTTCAAGTGATTCTCCTGCCCCAGCCTCACGAGTAGCTGGGATTACAGGTGCCTGCCACCATGCCTCGCTAATTTTTTTTTTTTTTGTTTGTATTTTTAGTAGAGATGGGGGTTTTACCATGTTGGTCAGGCTGATCTCAAACTCCTGACCTCATGATTTGCCTGCCTTGGCCTCCCAAAGTGCTGGGATTACAGGCGTGAGCCACCACACCAGGCCAACATTGCATTCTTTTAAAATGAAAACATGAATAGAGGTAAACTAATATTTCCAGAATTATTGACACTCTGTACACAATGTGTGTGTTTTTCTTGGCCTTAAACATTTTTTTCCAGTAAATCAGATTCATTCTATTTGGCAAGATTTTTAGAAAGAGCATGAGGTTATTTATGGGATGAGCATTTGACAAGTTCACACAATGTATAGTTCAGAGTTCAAAGTTGAAATTACAGTACTGTTTTCTTGATGAGCTTTCTCTGGCAAATTGCCTGTGAAAATTCTGGTAGGTTTCCATACATCCCACCCAGTATTCAACGAATATTATAAAATCACTCATCAGCTGGGACTAATTGCTCTGGAGTTATTTATCTGAATAATATTAACTCTTTATTAGCCTTGTTGAAACAATAATGAAACAATAAGGGCACATTTAATTGAAAGAATCATGTAGTCTTTTGCCTATAAATTGGAGAGAAAATACATATTTTACTTGTATCATTGAGAACAGAAATATTTTAAACAATTATAAAATTGGTAAGATATATCTTATGTATCTTAGTATAAAATCTAATTAGGAACTTTCCAGAAATGTTTCTCCTTTAACTTCATTTAATGACACATTTCTGTTGCATTTTACTGTGCCATCAACATTCCACACTTGTTAATTTATTTTGGTGGCTGTGGTGCTGAAATTTTATGTCATTTTTAACTGTGAGCTCAATTTTATGGAAATTTTATACATCTTTGGGTAATGTGGACTGAGCTTGGTTATTATAGCATTACTCTGAAATTTGATATTAAGAACATGAGCATGCTATGAAATGTTGAATAACTATATCATAGTCAATCATAATAACTATGTAATAGTTATTCAGCAGATTTGTAATCATAACTATGATTCTATATGATTCTAGTGGAGTTCTTTAATGTCTTTTAATAGAGTGAAATGTTGCTTCTTGAAAGAAGTTGATTTGGGGTTAAGTATTTTAATTTGTAATATGTCATTGTTAAAAAAAAATGGCCATATTTGTAAAGGCACAAGGCTTAGGTAAAATAAATAATCTGGATGCTAAAGAGGGCATTAGGAGTAAACAATTTTATGTTTATTTCCAAGTTTTTTTTTATGTATACCATCACTCACTCTGAATTTTGAATTTCCAATTGGTGCTATCTAGAATATGAAGCTTTATAGCAATCTTCTACATTTTTAAATCTAATAAGCATTTTATGACTATACAGTATTTTCCATTATATTTTATTTTGGGTTTTCATATTTTTATTCATAAATGAGATTCATTTATTTAATATATTTTTTACTAAACATGAATTATGTACCAGGTACTGTTCTAGTCCCTGAGAATTTATTAATGACAAACACAGAAAAAATTCTTGGCATAATGAAGTTTTCATCACAGTGAGATTGAGGACAATAAACAAAACAAACAAATCCATTGGCCAGTTCTCAGTCCTCATCTTATTTGACTTGTCGGCAGCATTTGACACTGCTGATCTATTTCTCTGCCTTGCAATACTTTCTTCACTTAGCTTTGGGATTTTCCCAAGTTTTCATCTTTGACTGTTCGTTCTCAATTTCCTTTGCTGGTTCCTCTTTATCCTCTGAATTTCTTAATGTTGAGGTGCTCTGGGGATCAGTCCTTGAACTTCTCTAGCTTGCCTTCATTGCATATTTGACTTAGGTCACAAGGATGTTTGATTATGTGTTCATTAGCAGGGCTTCAAATACACTCTCTAACAACTTCCTACTTCTTAGTCTTCAATCAGATCTCTCCCCTAAACGCCGTTCTCATTATCAGTTTACTCCACTCCTCCTCTTGACTATCTAGTACATAGAGACTCCTGAGCATCCCTTCTAAACCTGCTCATCCTGCAGGTTTCCATTCAGTACATGGCATCCCCAGCCAAAAATCTAGGAATTATTATTTGCTTCTCTCTTTCTCTCTCAGCACATCTCTATCTAATCTATCATCTTTTTACCTCATTAGCCCTAGCTTTCTCCGCTTCAGCCATTCTAGCCTCTTTGCTGTTCCTTTGGTCCTCCAGATGTTGTCCAACACCAGGGCCTTTTTTTGTGGGAACCTTTTCTTCCAGATACCCAAATGGTTTAGTCCCTCACATCCTTCAGGTTTGTTTCCCACATTCACCTTCGTGAGACCTCCTCTGACCAATCCATTTAAAAATTACTGCCCTCTTCCTTCACAGCAGCTGTCTCTTCCTTATCTATATTCCCTGTTAAGGTTTTCTTGGTTGCATTTACCCTGTCTAACATAGTACATATTGTACTTACTTTGTGGTTATTGCTACCTCCTTCCTCTACTAGAATGTGAGCTCCTTGGGCAGGATGTTTTATCTGTTTTGTTCAGTAACTGGAATGGTATCTGGCATTCCGGACTCAATGCAATGTGGGCCTCTAGTAGAAGAGGAACCAAATATTTGCAAGGCTTTTCTTCCTCATTCCCTCTCTCTGTTCTTTTCCTTCCTTCTTTCCTTCCTTTTTTCCCTCCATCTCTCCCCCCTTCCTTCCCTTCTTCCTCCCTCTCTTCCTTTCTTCCTTCCTCCCTCCTTTTTTCCCTTCCTCCCTTCCTTTCTTTGCCTCCCTTTTTGCCTCCCTCACTCCTTCCCTTCTTTCCGTTTCCTCCTCCTCCTCCTCCTGTTTCTTCTCTTCTCCCTCGTCCTTCTCTTCTTTCCCTTCCCCTTCTCCTTCTTCTCCTTTTATTTTTCTTAAGAAACTTGGAGAAGCCACTGAGTTAAGGCCAATTTTCTATATCTAGCCCTCTGTTTGGATTGGCAGCCGCTTGGTTATAGGGAAAAGCTGTGTCTAGTCTTCCTGAGGCATTGTCAAACTAGGACATCACAGAGAAGCCTCTTCACCTTCGGGGTCACTGCTCATTAACCCTATTGTTCAAACTCTGCAGCTGGCAGCTCAGTAGCCATTGAATGCCATTGATATGTGGCTATAAAAATTATTCTGTTTTGGGAGTGGCTTGTTCTAATAGTGAGTGTTGGGGCTGCAGCATGCCAACATGGTCCTGGATGGCTTTCCTCTACTTCCTGTGATACTGTGCTACTTTCACAGAAGAGTTTGTTGTTCTCTATGCCAATTCATTGTCAGCTCTATAAGGATAGGGACATTTTCTGAATAACAAGGCCCACTTGGTTCACAAAAATAACACAGTAAGTATTTTTTGAATAAGTTAATGTAATAATCTCACTTATAGATAGGAAAATCTAAAAGAAAATCAAAATGGAAACTATTTTATGATTGCAAAATATTAGGAGTCAACACTTAGTTATTTCATTTTTTGTTTTTTTTGAAATGGAGTCTTGCTGTGTCGCCCAGGCTGGAGTGCAATGGTGCCATCTCAGCTCACTGCAACCTCCCCCTCCAGGGTTCAAGTGATTCTCCTGCCTCAGCCTCCTGAGTAGCTGGGATTACAGGCACGCGCCACCATGGCTGGCTAATTTTTGTATTTTTTAGTAGAGACGGGGTTTCACCATGTTGATCAGGCTGGTCTCGAACTCCTGATCTTGTGATCCACCTGTCTTGGCCTCCCAAAGTGCTAGGATTACAGGCGTGAGCAACCATGCCCGGCCCTTTCATTTGTTTTATTTATGCTATTTCTAAAAGACAGTCTTTTTAGCACAAGTTTTTCAGTTCACATGCAATTTACACTCTATTTTTTTTTTTTTTTTTGAGACGGAGTCTCACTCTGTCGCCCAGGCTGGAGTGCAGTGACTCAACCTCAGCTCACTGCAAGCTCCGCCTCCCAGGTTAACACCATTCCCCTGCCTCAGCCTCCAGAGTAGCTGGGACTACAGGCGCCCACCACCACGCCTGGCTAATTTTTTGTATTTTTAGTAGAGATGGGGTTTCTGTGTTAGCCAGGATGGTCTCGATCTTCTAATCCACCCACCTCGGCCTCCCAAAGTGCTGGGATTACAGGTGTGAGCCACCGTGCCCGGCCTACACTCTATTTTTTATATACTTTCTGTGCAAGGTAATAAAAATCTAGAGTTGGAGGGAGGGGAATAAGTATTCTTAGCTTCCCATCTTTCCCAGAATATTTTCATCAATGTTTATTTTTAATTAAAAATACCTCTCACCTTCTTTACTCATCTTATATTCCTGATAGAGCACTGATTGACTTTGTTCATTCTCAGAGAACAAAGATTTACTCTCATCAAGAAGACTTTAAAAGATACCTGTTCTTGATGTGGCATGGCAGATATTGAAAAGTTATTTTTCTGAACTCATTGTCCTTAATTTATCCTGTTCATCTGTTAGTTCCTACCTATGAAAAACCACAGAGGAAAAAAAAAGATTCATAAAAGGCTGAAGTTACATTATTTATCCCAAGGTGTTATATTCTGGAAACCATGGAGGTACCCTGTACTTGAGTAATTAAAACAAGCATTTTATGTGTATAGATGATACATTTCTCTTAATTCATAAACCACCTTCTAAATATCTCAATATGTACAGCTGTGTATTCCTGAACATGATCTGTGGTGATAGCTTAATTCTGCTCCTAAGAATGAAAAAATAAGAAAGAGAAACATTTGTGGGAAAATAGAAAGAATACTTTACCTTAAAAAAACGAACACTTCGAGTTCTGCTTTTCTCAGTTTCTCAAAACTATAATTGAATATTTTATTCTTCAAATAAAAGCACAGATGGCTTTAATGATTGTAAATAAATAGTTCACTTGGTTGTCACTGATTTAAATTACTTAAAAAATCAAATTTTAAGCAAATAATTATAGGTCACATGTAATTTTTTTTGCTAAAATCTTAAGTATGGAGTATTTGGCTACCAACTTTGTACAATGTAACATTTTATAAATAAGTAGTAATTAATTTATTTGCTCTCAGAGTAACTTTTTCTTTCAAGCACGTTAAAAAGAGGATACCCAATTAAAAATTATTTGAAGTTATAATATTACATTAAGACAACAGTTTAATTTGGAAAAGTTTATTTTCTCTACACTCACTGGGAATTTTGTAACCAGTATCATCAGGTAAAAATGCTGTCAACCTCTTCTGTTTGAGATCATGTGTCATACTTAAAAAGTCTCTTCAATGTGTAACACATTTATAGTGTCATAGCAAGTGCTCAATACAACTTTTTAATTGGTCAGTTCATTCTTTATTTCATTCAACAACTATTTACCAAATGCCTGTTATGTATCAGGCATTAATACAAAAGATAAGCTGTAAATTTACATTTATTTATATTAAAATTTGTATTTTAGATGTTAAAAATATTCTATAAACATCATTAGAGCAGCAGGTGTTGTTAAAATAATGCTCTAGTCAACTTAATTCTTATTGTTGTTACAAATATTGGTTCACAATACCCCAACATATTAGATTAAAATAAGCAAGTCTCTTTCTTAAAATTGTAGAAAAAATACTTTTTGCTGTCTGATATCCATTCTTCCCTTCTCCCTTAATGAAAGGACTCTTGTTTTGTAGCAGGACCTGTTGCTATGGAGTAAGGACTACATTTCCCAAGCTCCTTTGGAGGTGATTTGTGCAGCTTCCAGACATATCTTCAAAAAGAGGAAATGTTACATCTTTGCTGCCCTTTCCTCATCCTGCTGCTTTAAAAAGTGTATTTTAAATACTTTTAACAGTGGTGTTTAAAAGTGCTGATGAGTCATATTCCACCATGTAGATAAGAGCAATACCTTAGAGATGACAAAGTTATGTGATATATAAAAAGCCTGCATCGCCTGTAAGAGCCCTGGACTACCATTTTCAGAATATAATGAACAAGCACTAAACCTCTGTTTTCTTTATGAACTGTGATTGAGTCTCTGCCAAACCTACATCCTAAGACAGAATTTGATGCCACAATTTGGGTGCATAAAGAGGTATAACCTAGATATGTGATGTATTATATTTAGCATTTGGTAGGCGGGAGGAGGAGACACAGATATTGGAGTCAGAAAAGCTGATTGATCCTTAAGGATGCTGAGGCAAAGCACTGGTATAATTGTCGGTTGTTATATCTTAGAAGGCACTCCACAAGCTGAGACCAAACATTAGGGAAAATCACAGGAAAGCAGCAGAATCTCAAAGTGTTGACTGCTTTTGCTCTTTTAGTGAAATCTTTTTAAAGAGATGAAGGTAGTCTAGAGTTAGCTAGTATGCAAGTGGAGGTGGAAAGGAATACAGTTCTGTTAAGAAAGGTTTTTTGCTGGGTTAGCAACATAATTTCACAGAGAGTACTATAATTTGAGGACTTTAAGGGTTGAAAAAGGCAACTTTTCCTGTACTTCAAACCAAAGGAATTATAATTGGTGGCTTCAAAGCCACTGCCTTAGTAGGAGATAAGCTCAATGCCCTGCCAGATTTGGGAGCCAGACCAGAGGCAAAATAAAATTAAGGGTATTGCTTTCCCACCCAAACAAAATGGCTCAGATAGCCTGAATGTATCTTCCATCCAGAGAGGGGGTGAGCAAGCACACAGGGTAATAAGGAAAGGCAAGCATCTTTAGGTTTGAACACTACGTTCAAATTAGATCTTTGGCTATAGTTACTTAATATATGGAACTAATCCAAAACAAATTGCCTACAAGCTTACTAAGTTTTTGAGGGAATTGTATGGATAAAGAACAACAACATGGCCTGAAAAAGCCTGTAATTGTTCAACCCCTAAGGAAATCTCTGGGCTGCCAAACTTGGACCAGCAAGAAGCAGGCTACAAAAACATTGCAATCTCCCAAGAAGAATGATTTCAGTAATGTCTACTTGATTCATGGCAAGGGAGGACACAAGATAGAAAAGCACCTTGCAGAGGGTTGAGCAAAGGGCTTTGAATTAGAGACTTCCAGATGGGCCTTACCAAGGGACTTACTCCATGGTTGATCAGGGAATATTTGTAATTCCTACCTAGTGGGATGTGATTAATGTCACAGTCCAGGGACTACCATGTGTCTATCAATTCCCCTTTTTGCTCATGAGGGGCAGTTTAGATGGCCATATCCAATTTCTTTACAAGCCTTGAGTATTGTGTGTGCTGGGGAAATATAAACTTTTATTTTAGTTTATAGGTTGTCAAACCATGAGGCCCCATATCTATCTTTAATGTAAAGAGCTACACATCACCAGATGAGAGGGACTTTCAGCTGGGTGCAGTAATTGATGAGATTTGGAAGTTTCCTCTCTGTGGAGGTGACAAATATGCTCCATGTAAGTAAGAGAGACTGCATAGATACTTGGGTTGCAACGTGGACAGACTGTGGCAAAGAATGTTAACTGCATGCAAATTTCCATTCTCTCCTGCTTTCACAGTGATGTAGCACCTGATTTTTAGTTAGGATTTCCAAAAATATGGTAAGTTGTCTTACTTCCCTTAAAGCAAGGTGTGGCCATGTGACTTATATCTGATAAATGGGCTGTGAGGAAACTTGATGGGTACAAAATGTGGGATATCTTTTTTTTTTTTTTTTTTTGAGACGGAGTCTCACTCTGTTGCCCAGGCTGGAGTGCAGTGGCGCGATCTCAGCTCACTGTAAGCTCCGCCTCACAGGTTCACGCCATTCTCCTGCCTCAGCATCCCGAGTAGCTGGGACTACCGGCACCCATCACCATGCCCGGCTAATTTTGTTTTGTATGTTTTAGTAGAGACGGGGTTTCACCGTGTTAGCCAGGATGGTCTCAATCTCCTG